>NT_187691.1:0-165607 GCF_000001405.40 Homo sapiens
GAATTCTTCCCTGAGACTTTGTCTCTCTGAGTATCATCTTGCCAACTATCTAGGAGCACTGAGGTTGAAAAAAAGGGTGGGAGCGGTGGCTCACACCTTTAATCCCAGTACTTTGAGAGTCTGAAGCAGGAGGATCGCTTGAGGCCGGGAGTTCGACACCAGCCTAGGCAACATAGCAAGATTCCACCTCTACAGAAATAAAAAAATTACCCAGGCATGGTTGTGTGTGCCTGTAGTCCCAGCTACTCAGAAGGCCAATTACACCGCTGAACTTCAGCCTGGGTGACAGAAGACCCTGTCTCTCTTTCTCTCTCTCTCTTTCTTTCTCTCTCTCTCTCTTTCTTCTCTCTCTCTCTCTCTCTATATATATATGTTTAAAAAGAAAAAAGAAAGAAGTTTGAGAACAGCTAGGGAACTAATGAAAACCCAAAAGAGTCAGTTTCTAAGAGAAAAAAAAAGGCAAGTTTTCTTGGTTTCTTCTTGGTTCAGAGACTCAGAGGCTAAGGTAATATTCACGAAGATGGTATGTGGCTAGTGCAGGTGCTGTGAAATATTTTAAACAAAAAAAGCCAATATTTAAACATTCTGCCTGGGAAATATTTTTCTTTATTTATTTAATATCTATTTTTATTATTATTATTATTATTTTTATTTTTTAAGACACAGGGTCTCGCTATCTTGCCCAGGCTGGTCTCAAACTCCTGGCCTCGAGTGATCCTCCCACCTTGGCCTCCCAAAATGCTGGGATTACAGACATGAGCCACCATGCCTGGCCTCTGCCTGGGAAATAATTTTTTTTTAAAAAGTGGTTATGGTCAATAATATTAGCTTCTTGGTAGTCTGTGACCAGGGCAAGAGTATATGCATTTACCCCTTGGGTTTTTTACCAGATTGGCACAGATGTTAACAACGAAAAAGAAAAGTAGAAATTTAATTTATTTTTAAGAAAGATAATGCTATAATTCAAGTTGAGAGAGTTAACCCGGCTTATAGCAGGGGTACTGTTTGCCTCTTCCCATGGAGTTTAACACAGTTAATTCACCATTCTAGTCTAACCTCACCTTCCTCCTCACAAGGAAGACAGGCGGGAGCTGGAGAAGACCATTGGCTATATTCCTGCAACTGTGCTTTTTCTAGGCGATTTGAAGCAGTGCTTATCAGGGGCCTTCCTCTGTGGGAATCCTGCACCCCCATCTCTCTCTCCTTTTTTATTTTATTTATTTATTTTTTTTTTGAGACAGAATCTTGCTCTGTCGCCCAGGCTGCAGTGAAGTGGCATGATGTCTGCTCACTGCAACCTCCACCTCCTGGGTTCAAGCAATTCTCCTGCCTCAGCCTTTTGAGTAACTGGGATTACAGGCACCCACCACCACGCCCAGCTATTTCTGTATTTTTTTTTCTAGTAGAGACGGGGTTTTGCCATATTGCCCAGGCTGGTCTCGCACTCCTGACCTCAAGTGATCCACCCATCTCAGCCTCCCAAAGTGCTGGGATTGCAGGTGGGGCTACCATGCCCGGCCCCATCTCTTATTATTTTTTTATCCCCCAAATATGTACAGTTGTGATATATTAATTTTTCATTTTTTCTTTTTATTTCTTTTCATTTTTACTTTAAGTTTCAGGATACATGTGCAGAACGTGCAGGTTTGTTACACAGGTATATATGTGCCATGGTGGTTTACTGCACCTATCAACCCATCACCTGCATGTATTAGCTATTTATCCTGACGCTCTTCCTCCCCTTGTCCCGTCCCTGACAGGCGCCAGTGTGTGTTGTTCCCCTCTCTGTGTCCATGTGTTCTCATTGTTCAACTCCAACTTATGAGTGAAAACATGCAGTGTTTGGTTTTCTGTTCCCCTGTTAGTTTGTTGAGGATGATGGCTTTCAGCTTCATCCATGTACCTGCAAAGGACGTGATCCCATTCCTTTTTCATGGCTGCATAGTATTCCGTGCTGCATATGTACCACATTTTCTTTATCCAGTCTATCACTGATGGACATTTGGGTTGGTTTCATGTCTTTACTATTGTAAATAGTGCTGCAGTAAACATACGTGTGCATGTATCTTTATAACAGAATGATTTATATTCCTTTGGGCATATACCCAGTAATGGGATTGCTGGGTCAAATGGTATTTCTGGTTCTAGATCCTTGAGGAATCGCCACACTGTCTTCCACAATGGTTGAACTGATTTACACTCCCACCAACAGTGTAAAAGCGTTCCTATTTCACCACAGCCTTGCCAGCATCTGCTGTTTCTTGACTTTTTAATAATTGCCATTCTGAGTGGTGTGAGATGATATCCCTTTGTAGTTTTGATTTGCATTTCTCTAATGATCCATGATGATGAGCCTTTTTTCATATGTTTGTTGGTGGCATAAATGTCTTCTTTTGATAAGTGTCTGTTCATATCCTTTGCCTGCTTTTTGATGGGGTTGTTTATTTTTTTCTTGTAAATTTAAGTTCCTTGTAAATTCTGGATATTAGACCTCTGTCAGATGGTTAGATTGCAAAAATTTTCTCATTTTGTAGGTTGCCTGTTTGCTCTGATGATAGTTTCTTTTGCTGTGCAGAGCTCTTTAGTTTAATTAGATCCCATTTGTCAATTTTAGCTTTTGTTGCAAGTGCTTTTGGAGATTTCATCATAAAATCTTTGCCTATGTCTATGTCCTGAATGGTATTGCCTAGGTTTTCTTCTAGGGTTTTCATGGTTTGGGGTTTTACATGTAAGTCTTTAACCTGCCTTGAGTTAATTTTTGTATAAGGTGTAAGGAAGGGGTCCAGTTTCAGTTTTCTGCATATGGCTAACCAGTTTTCCCAGCACCATTTATTGAATAGAGAATCCTTTCCCCATTGCCTGCTTTTGTCAGGTTTGTCAAAGATCAGATGGTTGTAGATGTGTGGTCTTATTTCCAAGGTATCTATTCTGTTCCATTGGTTTATATGTCAGTTTTGGTACCAGTACCATGCTGTTTTGGTTACTGTAGCCTTGTAGTATAGTTTGAAGTCAGGTAGCCTCCCACTTTGTTCTTTTTGCTTAGGATTGTCTTGGCTATTTGGGTTCTTTTTTGATTCCATATGAATTTTAAAGTAGTTTGTTCTCATTCTGTGAAGAATGGTAGTTTTCACATCCTTTGTTAGCTGTATTCCTAGGTATTTTATTCTATTTGTAGCAATTGTGAATAGGAGTTCATTCATGATTTAGCTCTCTGCTTGCCTATTTTGGTTCACTCCAGGAACCACAGAGGACACATTAATAACTGGAAGTAAAACTGCTGCCCCAGTCACCTCAACAGGCTCAACAACAGCGACACTAGAGGGACAATCAACTGCAGCTTCTTCAAGGACCTCTAATCAGGACATATCAGCTTCATCTCAGAACCACCAGACTAAGAGCACGGAGACCACCAGCAAAGCTCAAACCGACACCCTCACGCAGATGATGACATCAACTCTTTTTTCTTCCCCAAGTGTACACAATGTGATGGAGACAGCTCCTCCAGATGAAATGACCACATCATTTCCCTCCAGTGTCACCAACACACTCATGATGACATCAAAGACTATAACAATGACAACCTCCACAGACTCCACTCTTGGAAACACAGAAGAGACATCAACAGCAGGAACTGAAAGTTCTACCCCAGTGACCTCAGCAGTCTCAATAACAGCTGGACAGGAAGGACAATCACGAACAACTTCCTGGAGGACCTCTATCCAAGACACATCAGCTTCTTCTCAGAACCACTGGACTCGGAGCACGCAGACCACCAGGGAATCTCAAACCAGCACCCTAACACACAGAACCACTTCAACTCCTTCTTTCTCTCCAAGTGTACACAATGTGACAGGGACTGTTTCTCAGAAGACATCTCCTTCAGGTGAAACAGCTACCTCATCCCTCTGTAGTGTCACAAACACATCCATGATGACATCAGAGAAGATAACAGTGACAACCTCCACAGGCTCCACTCTTGGAAACCCAGGGGAGACATCATCAGTACCTGTTACTGGAAGTCTTATGCCAGTCACCTCAGCAGCCTTAGTAACATTTGATCCAGAAGGACAATCACCAGCAACTTTCTCAAGGACTTCTACTCAGGACACAACAGCTTTTTCTAAGAACCACCAGACTCAGAGCGTGGAGACCACCAGAGTATCTCAAATCAACACCCTCAACACCCTCACACCGGTTACAACATCAACTGTTTTATCCTCACCAAGTGGATTCAACCCAAGTGGAACAGTTTCTCAGGAGACATTCCCTTCTGGTGAAACAACCACCTCATCCCCTTCCAGTGTCAGCAATACATTCCTGGTAACATCAAAGGTGTTCAGAATGCCAACCTCCAGAGACTCTACTCTTGGAAACACAGAGGAGACATCACTATCTGTAAGTGGAACCATTTCTGCAATCACTTCCAAAGTTTCAACCATATGGTGGTCAGACACTCTGTCAACAGCACTCTCCCCCAGTTCTCTACCTCCAAAAATATCCACAGCTTTCCACACCCAGCAGAGTGAAGGTGCAGAGACCACAGGACGGCCTCATGAGAGGAGCTCATTCTCTCCAGGTGTGTCTCAAGAAATATTTACTCTACATGAAACAACAACATGGCCTTCCTCATTCTCCAGCAAAGGCCACACAACTTGGTCACAAACAGAACTGCCCTCAACATCAACAGGTGCTGCCACTAGGCTTGTCACAGGAAATCCATCTACAGGGACAGCTGGCACTATTCCAAGGGTCCCCTCTAAGGTCTCAGCAATAGGGGAACCAGGAGAGCCCACCACATACTCCTCCCACAGCACAACTCTCCCAAAAACAACAGGGGCAGGCGCCCAGACACAATGGACACAAGAAACGGGGACCACTGGAGAGGCTCTTCTCAGCAGCCCAAGCTACAGTGTGACTCAGATGATAAAAACGGCCACATCCCCATCTTCTTCACCTATGCTGGATAGACACACATCCCAACAAATTACAACGGCACCATCAACAAATCATTCAACAATACATTCCACAAGCACCTCTCCTCAGGAATCACCAGCTGTTTCCCAAAGGGGTCACACTCAAGCCCCGCAGACCACACAAGAATCACAAACCACGAGGTCCGTCTCCCCCATGACTGACACCAAGACAGTCACCACCCCAGGTTCTTCCTTCACAGCCAGTGGGCACTCGCCCTCAGAAATTGTTCCTCAGGACGCACCCACCATAAGTGCAGCAACAACCTTTGCCCCAGCTCCCACCGGGGATGGTCACACAACCCAGGCCCCGACCACAGCACTGCAGGCAGCACCCAGCAGCCATGATGCCACCCTGGGGCCCTCAGGAGGCACGTCACTTTCCAAAACAGGTGCCCTTACTCTGGCCAACTCTGTAGTGTCAACACCAGGGGGCCCAGAAGGACAATGGACATCAGCCTCTGCCAGCACCTCACCTGACACAGCAGCAGCCATGACCCATACCCACCAGGCTGAGAGCACAGAGGCCTCTGGACAAACACAGACCAGCGAACCGGCCTCCTCAGGGTCACGAACCACCTCAGCGGGCACAGCTACCCCTTCCTCATCCGGGGCGAGTGGCACAACACCTTCAGGAAGCGAAGGAATATCCACCTCAGGAGAGACGACAAGGTTTTCATCAAACCCCTCCAGGGACAGTCACACAACCCAGTCAACAACCGAATTGCTGTCCGCCTCAGCCAGTCATGGTGCCATCCCAGTAAGCACAGGAATGGCGTCTTCGATCGTCCCCGGCACCTTTCATCCCACCCTCTCTGAGGCCTCCACTGCAGGGAGACCGACAGGACAGTCAAGCCCAACTTCTCCCAGTGCCTCTCCTCAGGAGACAGCCGCCATTTCCCGGATGGCCCAGACTCAGAGGACAAGAACCAGCAGAGGGTCTGACACTATCAGCCTGGCGTCCCAGGCAACCGACACCTTCTCAACAGTCCCACCCACACCTCCATCGATCACATCCACTGGGCTTACATCTCCACAAACCGAGACCCACACTCTGTCACCTTCAGGGTCTGGTAAAACCTTCACCACGGCCCTCATCAGCAACGCCACCCCTCTTCCTGTCACCTACGCTTCCTCGGCATCCACAGGTCACACCACCCCTCTTCATGTCACCGATGCTTCCTCAGTATCCACAGGTCACGCCACCCCTCTTCCTGTCACCAGCCCTTCCTCAGTATCCACAGGTCACACCACCCCTCTTCCTGTCACCGACACTTCCTCAGAATCCACAGGTCACGTCACCCCTCTTCCTGTCACCAGCTTTTCCTCAGCATCCACAGGTGACAGCACCCCTCTTCCTGTCACTGACACTTCCTCAGCATCCACAGGTCACGTCACCCCTCTTCCTGTCACCAGCCTTTCCTCAGCATCCACAGGTGACACCACCCCTCTTCCTGTCACTGACACTTCCTCAGCATCCACAGGTCACGCCACCTCTCTTCCTGTCACCGACACTTCCTCAGTATCCACAGGTCACACCACCCCTCTTCCTGTCACCGACACTTCCTCAGCATCCACAGGTCACGCCACCTCTCTTCCTGTCACCGACACTTCCTCAGTATCCACAGGTCACACCACCCCTCTTCATGTCACTGATGCTTCCTCAGCATCCACAGGTCAGGCCACCCCTCTTCCTGTCACCAGCCTTTCCTCAGTATCCACAGGTGACACCACGCCTCTTCCTGTCACTAGCCCTTCCTCAGCATCCACAGGTCACGCCACCCCTCTTCTTGTCACCGACACTTCCTCAGCATCCACAGGACACGCCACCCCTCTTCCTGTCACCGACGCTTCCTCAGTGTCCACAGATCACGCCACCTCTCTTCCTGTAACCATCCCTTCCGCAGCATCCACAGGTCACACCACCCCTCTTCCTGTCACCGACACTTCCTCAGCATCCACAGGTCAGGCCACCTCTCTTCTTGTCACCGACACTTCCTCAGTATCCACAGGTGACACCACGCCTCTTCCTGTCACTAGCACTTCCTCAGCATCCACAGGTCACGTCACTCCTCTTCATGTCACCAGCCCTTCCTCAGCATCCACAGGTCACGCCACCCCTCTTCCTGTCACCAGCCTTTCCTCAGCATCCACAGGTGACACCATGCCTCTTCCTGTCACTAGCCCTTCCTCAGCATCCACAGGTGACACCACCCCTCTTCCTGTCACCGACGCTTCCTCAGTATCCACAGGTCACACCACCCCTCTTCATGTCACTGATGCTTCCTCAGCATCCACAGGTCAGGCCACCCCTCTTCCTGTCACCAGCCTTTCCTCAGTATCCACAGGTGACACCACGCCTCTTCCTGTCACTAGCCCTTCCTCAGCATCCACAGGTCACGCCACCCCTCTTCTTGTCACCGACACTTCCTCAGCATCCACAGGACACGCCACCCCTCTTCCTGTCACCGACGCTTCCTCAGTGTCCACAGATCACGCCACCTCTCTTCCTGTAACCATCCCTTCCGCAGCATCCACAGGTCACACCACCCCTCTTCCTGTCACCGACACTTCCTCAGCATCCACAGGTCAGGCCACCTCTCTTCTTGTCACCGACACTTCCTCAGTATCCACAGGTGACACCACGCCTCTTCCTGTCACTAGCACTTCCTCAGCATCCACAGGTCACGTCACTCCTCTTCATGTCACCAGCCCTTCCTCAGCATCCACAGGTCACGCCACCCCTCTTCCTGTCACCAGCCTTTCCTCAGCATCCACAGGTGACACCATGCCTCTTCCTGTCACTAGCCCTTCCTCAGCATCCACAGGTGACACCACCCCTCTTCCTGTCACCGACGCTTCCTCAGTATCCACAGGTCACACCACCCCTCTTCCTGTCACCAGCCCTTCCTCAGCATCTACAGGTCACACCACCCCTCTTCCTGTCACCGACACTTCCTCAGCATCCAAAGGTGACACCACCCCTCTTCCTGTCACCAGCCCTTCCTCAGCATCTACAGGTCACACCACCCCTCTTCCTGTCACCGACACTTCCTCAGCATCCACAGGTGACACCACCCCTCTTCCTGTCACCAATGCTTCCTCATTATCCACAGGTCACGCCACCCCTCTTCATGTCACCAGCCCTTCCTCAGCATCCACAGGTCACGCCACCCCTCTTCCTGTCACCAGCACTTCCTCAGCATCCACCGGTCACGCCACCCCTCTTCCTGTCACCGGCCTTTCCTCAGCTACCACAGATGACACCACCCGTCTTCCTGTCACCGACGTTTCCTCGGCATCCACAGGTCAGGCCACCCCTCTTCCTGTCACCAGCCTTTCCTCAGTATCCACAGGTGACACCACGCCTCTTCCTGTCACTAGCCCTTCCTCAGCATCCACAGGTCACGCCAGCCCTCTTCTTGTCACTGACGCTTCCTCAGCATCCACAGGTCAGGCCACCCCTCTTCCTGTCACCGACACTTCCTCAGTATCCACAGCTCACGCCACCCCACTTCCTGTCACCGGCCTTTCTTCAGCTTCCACAGATGACACCACCCGTCTTCCTGTCACCGACGTTTCCTCGGCATCCACAGGTCAGGCCATCCCTCTTCCTGTCACCAGCCCTTCCTCAGCATCCACAGGTGACACCACCCCTCTTCCTGTCACCGACGCTTCCTCAGCATCCACAGGTGACACCACCTCTCTTCCTGTCACCATCCCTTCCTCAGCATCTTCAGGTCACACCACCTCTCTTCCTGTCACCGACGCTTCCTCAGTGTCCACAGGTCACGCCACCTCTCTTCTTGTCACCGACGCTTCCTCAGTATCCACAGGTGACACCACCCCTCTTCCTGTCACCGACACTAACTCAGCATCCACAGGTGACACCACCCCTCTTCATGTCACCGACGCTTCCTCAGTATCCACAGGTCACGCCACCTCTCTTCCTGTCACCAGCCTTTCCTCAGCATCCACAGGTGACACCACGCCTCTTCCTGTCACTAGCCCTTCCTCAGCATCCTCAGGTCACACCACCCCTCTTCCTGTCACCGACGCTTCCTCAGTACCCACAGGTCACGCCACCTCTCTTCCTGTCACCGACGCTTCCTCAGTGTCCACAGGTCACGCCACCCCTCTTCCTGTCACCGACGCTTCCTCAGTGTCCACAGGTCATGCCACCCCTCTTCCGGTCACCGACACTTCCTCAGTATCTACAGGACAGGCCACCCCTCTTCCTGTCACCAGCCTTTCCTCAGCATCCACTGGTGACACCACGCCGCTTCCTGTCACCGATACTTCCTCAGCATCCACAGGTCAGGACACCCCTCTTCCTGTCACCAGCCTTTCCTCAGTATCCACAGGTGACACCACGCCTCTTCCTGTCACTAACCCTTCCTCAGCATCCACAGGTCACGCCACCCCTCTTCTTGTCACCGACGCTTCCTCAATATCCACAGGTCACGCCACCTCTCTTCTTGTCACCGACGCTTCCTCAGTATCCACAGGTCACGCCACCGCTCTTCATGACACCGATGCTTCCTCATTATCCACAGGGGACACCACCCCTCTTCCTGTCACCAGCCCTTCCTCAACATCCACAGGTGACACCACCCCTCTTCCTGTCACCGAAACTTCCTCAGTATCCACAGGTCACGCCACCTCTCTTCCTGTCACCGACACTTCCTCAGCATCCACAGGTCACGCCACCTCTCTTCCTGTCACCGACACTTCCTCAGCATCCACAGGTCACGCCACCCCTCTTCCTGTCACCGACACTTCCTCAGCATCCACAGGTCAGGCCACCCCTCTTCCTGTCACCAGCCCTTCCTCAGCATCCACAGGTCACGCCATCCCTCTTCTTGTCACCGACACTTCCTCAGCATCCACAGGACAGGCCACCCCTCTTCCTGTCACCAGCCTTTCCTCAGCATCCACAGGTGACACCACCCCTCTTCCTGTCACCGACGCTTCCTCAGTGTCCACAGGTCACGCCACCTCTCTTCCTGTCACCAGCCTTTCCTCAGTATCCACAGGTGACACCACTCCTCTTCCTGTCACTAGCCCTTCCTCAGCATCCACAGGTCACGCCACCCCTCTTCATGTCACCGACGCTTCCTCAGCATCCACAGGTCACGCCACCCCTCTTCCTGTCACCAGCCTTTCCTCAGCATCCACAGGTGACACCACGCCTCTTCCTGTCACTAGCCCTTCCTCAGCATCCACAGGTCACGCCACCCCTCTTCATGTCACCGACGCTTCCTCAGTATCCACAGGTGACACCACCCCTCTTCCTGTCACCAGCTCTTCCTCAGCATCCTCAGGTCACACCACCCCTCTTCCTGTCACCGACGCTTCCTCAGCATCCACAGGTGACACCACCCCTCTTCCTGTCACCGACACTTCCTCAGCATCCACAGGTCACGCCACCCATCTTCCTGTCACCGGCCTTTCCTCAGCTTCCACAGGTGACACCACCCGTCTTCCTGTCACCAACGTTTCCTCGGCATCCACAGGTCATGCCACCCCTCTTCCTGTCACCAGCACTTCCTCAGCATCCACAGGTGACACCACCCCTCTTCCTGGCACCGACACTTCCTCAGTATCCACAGGTCACACCACCCCTCTTCTTGTCACCGACGCTTCGTCAGTATCCACAGGTGACACCACCCGTCTTCCTGTCACCAGCCCTTCCTCAGCATCTACAGGTCACACCACCCCTCTACCTGTCACCGACACTCCCTCAGCATCCACAGGTGACACCACCCCTCTTCCTGTCACCAATGCTTCCTCATTATCCACACGTCACGCCACCTCTCTTCATGTCACCAGCCCTTCCTCAGCATCCACAGGTCACGCCACCTCTCTTCCTGTCACCGACACTTCCGCAGCATCCACAGGTCACGCCACCCCTCTTCCTGTCACCAGCACTTCCTCAGCATCCACAGGTGACACCACCCCTCTTCCTGTCACCGACACTTACTCAGCATCCACAGGTCAGGCCACCCCTCTTCCTGTCACCAGCCTTTCCTCAGTATCCACAGGTGACACCACGCCTCTTCCTGTCACTAGCCCTTCCTCAGCATCCACAGGTCACGCCACTCCTCTTCTTGTCACCGACGCTTCCTCAGCATCCACAGGTCAGGCCACCCCTCTTCCTGTCACCAGCCTTTCCTCAGTATCCACAGGTGACACCACGCCTCTTCCTGTCACTAGCCCTTCCTCAGCATCCACCGGTCATGCCACCTCTCTTCCTGTCACCGACACTTCCTCAGCATCCACAGGTGACACCACCTCTCTTCCTGTCACCGACACTTCCTCAGCATACACAGGTGACACCACCTCTCTTCCTGTCACCGACACTTCCTCATCATCCACAGGTGACACCACCCCTCTTCTTGTCACCGAGACTTCCTCAGTATCCACAGGTGACACCACCCCTCTTCCTGTCACCGACACTTCCTCAGCATCCACAGGTCACGCCACCCCTCTTCCTGTCACCAACACTTCCTCAGTATCCACAGGTCACGCCACCCCTCTTCATGTCACCAGCCCTTCCTCAGCATCCACAGGTCACACCACCCCTCTTCCTGTCACCGACGCTTCGTCAGTGTCCACAGGTCACGCCACCTCTCTTCCTGTCACCGACGCTTCCTCAGTGTTCACAGGTCATGCCACCTCTCTTCCTGTCACCATCCCTTCCTCAGCATCCTCAGGTCACACCACCCCTCTTCCTGTCACCGACGCTTCCTCAGTGTCCACAGGTCACGCCACCTCTCTTCCTGTCACCGACGCTTCCTCAGTGTCCACAGGTCATGCCACCCCTCTTCCTGTCACCGACGCTTCCTCAGTGTCCACAGGTCACGCTACCCCTCTTCCTCTCACCAGCCTTTCCTCAGTATCCACAGGTGACACCACGCCTCTTCCTGTCACCGACACTTCCTCAGCATCCACAGGTCAGGCCACCCCTCTTCCTGTCACCAGCCTTTCCTCAGTATCCACAGGTGACACCACCCCTCTTCCTGTCACCGACACTTCCTCAGCATCCACAGGTCACGCCACCTCTCTTCCTGTCACCGACACTTCCTCAGCATCCACAGGTCACGCCACCCCTCTTCCTGACACCGACACTTCCTCAGCATCCACAGGTCACGCCACCCTTCTTCCTGTCACCGACACTTCCTCAGCATCCATAGGTCACGCCACCTCTCTTCCTGTCACCGACACTTCCTCAATATCCACAGGTCACGCCACCCCTCTTCATGTCACCAGCCCTTCCTCAGCATCCACCGGTCACGCCACCCCGCTTCCTGTCACCGACACTTCCTCAGCATCCACAGGTCACGCCAACCCTCTTCATGTCACCAGCCCTTCCTCAGCATCCACCGGTCACGCCACCCCGCTTCCTGTCACCGACACTTCCTCAGCATCCACAGGTCACGCCACCCCTCTTCCTGTCACCAGCCTTTCCTCAGTATCCACAGGTGACACCACGCCTCTTCCTGTCACTAGCCCTTCCTCAGCATCCACAGGTCACACCACCCCTCTTCCTGTCACCGACACTTCCTCAGCATCCACAGGTCAGGCCACCGCTCTTCCTGTCACCAGCACTTCCTCAGCATCCACAGGTGACACCACCCCTCTTCCTGTCACCGACACTTCCTCAGCATCCACAGGTCAGGCCACCCCTCTTCCTGTCACCAGCCTTTCCTCAGTATCCACAGGTGACACCACGCCTCTTCCTGTCACTAGCCCTTCCTCAGCATCCACAGGTCACGCCACTCCTCTTCTTGTCACCGACGCTTCCTCAGCATCCACAGGTCAGGCCACCCCTCTTCCTGTCACCAGCCTTTCCTCAGTATCCACAGGTGACACCACGCCTCTTCCTGTCACTAGCCCTTCCTCAGCATCCACCGGTCATGCCACCTCTCTTCCTGTCACCGACACTTCCTCAGCATCCACAGGTGACACCACCTCTCTTCCTGTCACCGACACTTCCTCAGCATACACAGGTGACACCACCTCTCTTCCTGTCACCGACACTTCCTCATCATCCACAGGTGACACCACCCCTCTTCTTGTCACCGAGACTTCCTCAGTATCCACAGGTCACGCCACTCCTCTTCTTGTCACCGACGCTTCCTCAGCATCCACAGGTCACGCCACCCCTCTTCATGTCACCAGCCCTTCCTCAGCATCCACAGGTGACACCACCCCTGT
Organism: Homo sapiens; assembly: GCF_000001405.40. Classification (NCBI taxonomy): domain Eukaryota; kingdom Metazoa; phylum Chordata; class Mammalia; order Primates; family Hominidae; genus Homo; species Homo sapiens. The sequence goes on from NT_187691.1 coordinate 13,191, forward strand.
GCCTGTCACCGACACTTCCTCAGTATCCACAGGTCACGCCACCCCTCTTCCTGTCACCGGCCTTTCCTCAGCTTCCACAGGTGACACCACCCGTCTTCCTGTCACCGACATTTCCTCGGCATCCACAGGTCAGGCCACCCCTCTTCCTGTCACCAACACTTCCTCAGTATCCACAGGTGACACCATGCCTCTTCCTGTCACTAGCCCTTCCTCAGCATCCACAGGTCACGCCACCCCTCTTCCTGTCACCAGCACTTCCTCAGCATCCACCGGTCACGCCACCCCTGTTCCTGTCACCAGCACTTCCTCAGCATCTACAGGTCACACCACCCCTCTTCCTGTCACCGACACTTCCTCAGCATCCACAGGTGACACCACCCCTCTTCCTGTCACCAGCCCTTCCTCAGCATCTACAGGTCACACCACCCCTCTTCATGTCACCATCCCTTCCTCAGCATCCACAGGTGACACCAGCACTCTTCCTGTCACCGGCGCTTCCTCAGCATCCACCGGTCACGCCACCCCTCTTCCTGTCACCGACACTTCCTCAGTATCCACCGGTCACGCCACGCCTCTTCCTGTCACCAGCCTTTCCTCAGTATCCACAGGTGACACCACCCCTCTTCCTGTCACCGACGCTTCCTCGGCATCCACAGGTCAGGCCACCCCTCTTCCTGTCACCAGCCTTTCCTCAGTATCCACAGGTGACACCACCCCTCTTCTTGTCACCGACGCTTCCTCAGTATCCACAGGTCACGCCACCCCTCTTCCTGTCACCGACACTTCCTCAGCATCCACAGGTGACACCACCCGTCTTCCTGTCACGGACACTTCCTCAGCATCCACAGGTCAGGCCACCCCTCTTCCTGTCACCAGCCTTTCCTCAGTATCCACAGGTGACACCACCCCTCTTCTTGTCACCGACGCTTCCTCAGTATCCACAGGTCACGCCACCCCTCTTCCTGTCACCGACACTTCCTCAGCATCCACAGGTGACACCACCCGTCTTCCTGTCACGGACACTTCCTCAGCATCCACAGGTCAGGCCACCCCTCTTCCTGTCACCATCCCTTCCTCATCATCCTCAGGTCACACCACCCCTCTTCCTGTCACCAGCACTTCCTCAGTATCTACAGGTCACGTCACCCCTCTTCATGTCACCAGCCCTTCCTCAGCATCCACAGGTCACGTCACCCCTCTTCCTGTCACCAGCACTTCCTCAGCATCCACAGGTCACGCCACCCCTCTTCTTGTCACCGACGCTTCCTCAGTGTCCACAGGTCACGCCACGCCTCTTCCTGTCACCGACGCTTCCTCAGCATCCACAGGTGACACCACCCCTCTTCCTGTCACCGACACTTCCTCAGCATCCACAGGTCAGGCCACCCCTCTTCCTGTCACCAGCCTTTCCTCAGTATCCACAGGTGACACCACCCCTCTTCCTGTCACCGACGCTTCCTCAGCATCCACAGGTCACGCCACCCCTCTTCCTGTCACCATCCCTTCCTCAGTATCCACAGGTGACACCATGCCTCTTCCTGTCACTAGCCCTTCCTCAGCATCCACAGGTCACGCCACCCCTCTTCCTGTTACCGGCCTTTCCTCAGCTTCCACAGGTGACACCACCCCTCTTCCTGTCACCGACACTTCCTCAGCATCCACACGTCACGCCACCCCTCTTCCTGTCACCGACACTTCCTCAGCTTCCACAGATGACACCACCCGTCTTCCTGTCACCGACGTTTCCTCGGCATCCACAGGACATGCCACCCCTCTTCCTGTCACCAGCACTTCCTCAGCATCCACAGGTGACACCACCCCTCTTCCTGTCACCGACACTTCCTCAGTATCCACAGGTCACGCCACCTCTCTTCCTGTCACCAGCCGTTCCTCAGCATCCACAGGTCACGCCACCCCCCTTCCTGTCACCGACACTTCCTCAGTATCCACAGGTCACGCCACCCCTCTTCCTGTCACCAGCACTTCCTCAGTATCTACAGGTCACGCCACCCCTCTTCCTGTCACCAGCCCTTCCTCAGCATCCACAGGTCACGCCACCCCTGTTCCTGTCACCAGCACTTCCTCAGCATCCACAGGTGACACCACCCCTCTTCCTGTCACCAATGCTTCCTCATTATCCACAGGTCACGCCACCCCTCTTCATGTCACCAGCCCTTCCTCAGCATCCAGAGGTGACACCAGCACTCTTCCTGTCACCGATGCTTCCTCAGCATCCACCGGTCACGCCACCCCTCTTCCTCTCACCAGCCTTTCCTCAGTATCCACAGGTGACACCACGCCTCTTCCTGTCACCGACACTTCCTCTGCATCCACAGGTCAGGCCACCCCTCTTCCTGTCACCAGCCTTTCCTCAGTATCCACAGGTGACACCACGCCTCTTCCTGTCACCATCCCTTCCTCAGCATCCTCAGGTCACACCACCTCTCTTCCTGTCACCGACGCTTCCTCAGTGTCCACAGGTCACGGCACCCCTCTTCCTGTCACCAGCACTTCCTCAGCATCCACAGGTGACACCACCCCTCTTCCTGTCACCGACACTTCCTCAGCATCCACAGGTCACGCCACCCCTCTTCCTGTCACCGACACTTCCTCAGCATCCACAGGTCACGCCACCCCTCTTCCTGTCACCAGCCTTTCCTCAGTATCCACAGGTCACGCCACCCCTCTTGCTGTCAGCAGTGCTACCTCAGCTTCCACAGTATCCTCGGACTCCCCTCTGAAGATGGAAACACCAGGTAGCTGCCAACTGCCTCGCCTTTATGTCTCCCAGTGGGCCCCTTGGCGGAATTCAGCCTAAGGAGTACCTGAGAACACTGGTGCATTCGCATTACCTGGTGGGGCCGTGTCAGGTCCCACAGGGGAGGAGGTGATGGGTGTGGTGGGTGACAGGCTCACCCTCCTTTGTGCCGCAATCGAAAAGCACTGATGTCGAGAGTAGTTTGGATATGAGCAGGGGAGAGACAAGGAGTTTCCAGCTCCCTCTTCCAGCTCCTGATTTCTTTGAATCTCTTTGACTCTCCTGTTTTGTTACTGTAAGAAACACCCCGCCTTGTCTTTTCACGTGTCCAGGAATGACAACACCGTCACTGAAGACAGACGGTGGGAGACGCACAGCCACATCACCACCCCCCACAACCTCCCAGACCATCATTTCCACCATTCCCAGCACTGCCATGCACACCCGCTCCACAGCTGCCCCCATCCCCATCCTGCCTGAGAGAGGTGAGGCCATACAGGTGAGGCCTGTGCCTTTTGAGGGGTGATGTAACTGAAGGCTCCCTCTCAGCCTACTTCCCACAGTCTCCGCTCTCTCGGGTGGGGAGGGCCTTACCGAGGACAGGGACACAGCATCGGAGTCGCTCCTGAGGGCTGGCTTTGTGCATGGCACTGGGCCAGGAGCTGGAGACAGAGAAATGACCCCAGTGCCATTCAGCAAGGGATAGATGGACGGTCCGGTAGCGGCGGTTAGAGGACTCATCCCAGGGTCTAAGTGCACACAATGGAAGGCCCTAAGGAATGCAGAGCCGGGGATGGAGGAGCACCCCAGGCAGGGAGGAGGGCGGGAACAGCTGGAACAAAGGTGTGGAAGGTATGGGTGTGGAAGGTATGGGTGTGGAAGGTATGGCTGTGGAAGGTATGGGTGTGGAAGGTATGGGTGTGGAAGGTATGGGTGTGGAAGGTATGGATGTGGAAGGTATGGGTGTGGAAGGTATGGGTGTGGAAGGTATGGGTGTGGAAGGTATGGGTGTGGAAGGTATGGGTGTGGAAGGTAAGGGTGTGGAAGGTATGGGTGTGGAAGGTATGGGTGTGGAAGGTATGGGTGTGGAAGGTATGGATGTGGAAGGTATGGGTGTGGAAGGTATGGGTGTGGAAGGTATGACTGTGGAAGGTATGGGTGTGGAAGGTATGGGTGTGGAAGGTATGGGTGTGGAAGGTATGGGTGTGGAAGGTATGGGTGTGGAAGGTATGGGTGTGGAAGGTATGACTGTGGAAGGTATGGGTGTGGAAGGTATGACTGTGGAAGGTATGGGTGTGGAAGGTAAGGGTGTGGAAGGTATGGGTGTGGAAGGTATGGGTGTGGAAGGTATGGGTGTGGAAGGTATGGGTGTGGAAGGTAAGGGTGTGGAAGGTATGGGTGTGGAAGGTATGGGTGTGGAAGGTATGGGTGTGGAAGGTAAGGGTGTGGAAGGTATGGGTGTGGAAGGTATGGGTGTGGAAGGTATGGGTGTGGAAGGTATGGATGTGGAAGGTATGGGTGTGGAAGGTATGGGTGTGGAAGGTATGACTGTGGAAGGTATGGGTGTGGAAGGTATGACTGTGGAAGGTATGGGTGTGGAAGGTATGGGTGTGGAAGGTATGGGTGTGGAAGGTATGGATGTGGAAGGTATGGGTGTGGAAGGTATGGGTGTGGAAGGTATGACTGTGGAAGGTATGGGTGTGGAAGGTATGACTGTGGAAGGTATGGGTGTGGAAGGTATGGGTGTGGAAGGTATGGGTGTGGAAGGTATGGGTGTGGAAGGTATGGATGTGGAAGGTATGGGTGTGGAAGGTATGGGTGTGGAAGGTATGACTGTGGAAGGTATGGGTGTGGAAGGTATGACTGTGGAAGGTATGGGTGTGGAAGGTAAGGGTGTGGAAGGTATGGGTGTGGAAGGTATGGGTGTGGAAGGTATGGGTGTGGAAGGTATGACTGTGGAAGGTATGGCCGTGGAAGGTATGGGTGTGGAAGGTATGGGTGTGGAAGGTATGGGTGTGGAAGGTATGGGTGTGGAAGGTATGGGTGTGGAAGGTATGGGTGTGGAAGGTATGACTGTGGAAGGTATGGGTGTGGAAGGTAAGGGTGTGGAAGGTATGGGTGTGGAAGGTATGGGTGTGGAAGGTATGACTGTGGAAGGTATGGGTGTGGAAGGTATGGGTGTGGAAGGTATGGGTGTGGAAGGTATGGGTGTGGAAGGTATGGGTGCGGAAGGTATGGGTGTGGAAGGTATGGGTGCGGAAGGTATGGGTGTGGAAGGTATGGGTGTGGAAGGTATGGATGCGGAAGGTATGGGTGTGGAAGGTATGGGTGCGGAAGGTATGGGTGCGGAAGGTATGGGTGTGGAAGGTATGGGTGTGGAAGGTATGGGTGTGGAAGGTATGGGTGTGGAAGGTATGGCTGTGGAAGGTATGGGTGTGGAAGGTATGGGTGTGGAAGGTATGACTGTGGAAGGTATGGGTGTGGAAGGTATGGGTGTGGAAGGTATGGGTGTGGAAGGTATGGGTGTGGAAGGTATGGGTGTGGAAGGTATGGGTGTGGAAGGTATGGATGTGGAAGGTATGGGTGTGGAAGGTATGGGTGTGGAAGGTATGACTGTGGAAGGTATGGGTGTGGAAGGTATGGCTGTGGAAGGTATGGGTGTGGAAGGTAAGGGTGTGGAAGGTATGGGTGTGGAAGGTATGGGTGTGGAAGGTAAGGGTGTGGAAGGTATGGGTGTGGAAGTTATGGCCGTGGAAGGTATGGATGTGGAAGGTATGGGTGTGGAAGGTATGACTGTGGAAGGTATGGATGTGGAAGGTATGGGTGTGGAAGGTATGGGTGTGGAAGGTATGACTGTGGAAGGTATGGGTGTGGAAGGTATGGGTGTGGAAGGTATGGGTGTGGAAGGTATGGGTGTGGAAGGTATGGCCGTGGAAGGTATGGGTGTGGAAGGTATGACCGTGGAAGGTATGGCCGTGGAAGGTATGGGTGTGGAAGGTAAGGGTGTGGAAGGTATGGGTGTGGAAGGTATGGGTGTGGAAGGTAAGGGTGTGGAAGGTATGGATGTGGAAGGTATGGGTGTGGAAGGTATGGGTGTGGAAGGTATCGGTGTGGAAGGTATGGGTGTGGAAGGTATGACTGTGGAAGGTATGGGTGTGGAAGGTATGACTGTGGAAGGTATGGGTGTGGAAGGTATGGGTGTGGAAGGTATGGGTGTGGAAGGTATGGGTGTGGAAGGTATGACTGTGGAAGGTATGGGTGTGGAAGGTATGGGTGTGGAAGGTATGGCTGTGGAAGGTATGGGTGTGGAAGGTATGACTGTGGAAGGTATGGGTGTGGAAGGTATGGGTGTGGAAGGTATGGGTGTGGAAGGTATGGGTGTGGAAGGTATGGGTGTGGAAGGTACGAGTGTGGTAGGTATGGCTGCAGAAAGTCGTCCCGGTGCTGCATGGGGGTGGATCCCCGAAGCATTTGGGGTGGCTGAAAATGAGAAGAAGGGTAGCAAAAAGTGCGGCCGGCATGCGGGGAATCCTGTAGGCAACGGGAGCCAGGGAGGACTCAGTTTTGCATTGTACAAATGGCATTTAACAAGTGGTGCCTGGAGCGGTCCGATTTGCAGGCAGTGAGGAGGCCAGGAGAGCCTGCGGGTTTCCAAGCAGGACCAGGGGAGGGCGCCAAGGAGTCGGCAGCTGCGAGAAATATTTGGGACAAGGTTTCTCAAACTGGAGCCCGAGGGCCTCTAGGGAGTCCTAGGTTAAATTGGAGGAGTCTTCAAGTTTATCTGGAGAAAGGCCGTCTTAGGAAACAAGTCTCATTCCCTGAAAAGGGCTTTGCAGTTACTCATCTTCATTGCGCTGGACTTTTGTCTATTTTTTTTTTTTTTTTTGAGATGGAGTTTTCGCTCTTGTTGCCCAGGCTGGAGTGCAGTGGCGCGATCTCAGCTCACTGGAACCTCAGCCTCCCGGGTTCAAGCAATTCTCCTGCCTCAGCCTCCCGAGTGGCTGGGATTACAGGCATGCGCCACCACACCCGGCTAATTTTTGTATTTTAAGTAGAGACAGGGCTTCTCCATGTTGGTCAGGCTGGTCTCGAACTCCTGACCTCGTGATCCTCCCGCCTCAGCCTCCCAAAGTGCTGGGATTACAGGCGTGAGCCACCGCACCCAGCATAGACTTTTGTCTTTTAACCCTGAAAAGGATTGAGACTAAGAGATTGAGAATCGTTTGCTGGTATTCTGACAGCAGGACCTGTTTTTCTCCAAGCTGGGGAAGGATGAGAGGCGCAGTTTAGGGAGTAAAATGACCACATGCATTTAATGTGGGTGGAGAGGGAGCGAGAAGCACCCTAGATGGCTGCCTCTGGGGCCCTCGGGGAACACAGGACAGGTGTGGGCAGCCTGCAGGGAGCGCTCTGGGATCCCTTTCAGCCCTAAAGAAGGCCCAGGCCCACTTGGACTTCCTGCTCTTCTCTGTCCTGGCCCAGGAGTTTCCCTCTTCCCCTATGGGGCAGGCGCCGGGGACCTGGAGTTCGTCAGGAGGACCGTGGACTTCACCTCCCCACTCTTCAAGCCGGCGACTGGCTTCCCCCTTGGCTCCTCTCTCCGTGATTCCCTCTACGTGAGTCCGGGCTGCGGCCCGCGCAGCCTGAACTCCCAGGGCCCACTTCTCTCTCCTGCTTCGAGACGGAACCCAGAGGAAGCGGGAATGGAAGCAGCCTTGGCTGGGCCCCTCGTCCATCCCCACAGCCTCCTTAATGTCAGGCCTCTGCCTGAGGAACACAGGGTGCCAGGCGAGGGCTGCCCACCTGCTGGGCCCACCGCTGCTTCTGCGGGGCCTTCTCAGGAGTAAAAAGCTACACTTGGGAAACTGGACTGTTCCTGCCGTTTCCACCTTCTGGGATTTGTCTCTGGCCCCCTGGTCCCTGCCTCCTGGAGCAGAGTTGGAGGGACAGTCCTGGCTCCTGTGGCCCTGAGGGAGGAGGCTGAGTCCGAACACAGCATGAGAGGGCGACTGAGCGATGGAGAGGGTGTCCACACCTGCTGAGCGATAGAGAGAGGGTGTCCACACCTGCTGAGCGATGGCGAGAGGGTGTCCACACCTGCTGAGCGATGGCGAGAGGGTGTCCACACCTGCTGAGCGATGGCGAGAGGGTGTCCACACCTGCTGAGCGATAGAGAGAGGGTGTCCACACCTGCTGAGCGATGGCGAGAGGGTGTCCACACCTGCTGAGCGATAGAGAGAGGGTGTCCACACCTGCTGAGCGATGGAGAGAGGGTGTCCACACCTGCTGAGTGATAGAGAGAGGGTGTCCACACCTGCTGAGCGATGGAGAGAGGGTGTCCACACCTGCTGAGTGAGAGAGAGGTTTCCACCCCCTAAGTGATGGAGATGGGGTGTCTGCACCCCTGAGTGATGGAGAGAGGGTGTCTACACCCCTGAGCGATGGAGGGGGGTGCCTACACCTGCTGAGCGATAGAGAGAGGTTTCCACCCCCTAAGTGATGGAGATGGGGTGTCTGCACCCCTGAGCGATGGAGAGAGGGTATCTACACCTGCTGAGTGATAGAGAGAGGTTTCCACCCCCTAAGTGATGGAGATGGGGTGTCTGCACCCCTGAGCGATGGAGAGAGGGTGTCTACACCCCTGAGCGATGGAGAGGGGGTGTCTACACCCCTGAGCGATGGAGAGAGGATGTCTACACCCCGAACGATAGAGAGGGTGTCCACACCCCTGAGCGATGAAGGGAGGGTGTCTACACCCCTGAGCGATGGAGAGAGGGTGTCCACACCCCTGAGCGATGGAGAGAGGGTGTCTACACCCCTGAGCGATGGAGAGAGGGTATCTACACCCCTGAGCGATGGAGAGAGGGTGTCTACACCCCTGAGCGATGAAGGGAGGGTGTCTATAGCCCTGAGCACCCCTGAGCGATGAAGGGAGGGTGTCTATACCCCTGAGCGATGGAGAGAGGGTGTCTACACCCCTGAGCGATGGAGAGGGGGTGTCTACACCCCTGAGCGATGGAGAGGGGGTGTCTACACCCCTGAGCGATGGAGAGAGGATGTCTACACCCCTGAGCGATGAAGGGAGGGTGTCTACACCCCTGAGGGATGGAGAGAGGGTGTCCACACCTGCTGAGTGATAGAGAGAGGTTTCCACCCCCTAAGTGATGGAGATGGGGTGTCTGCACCCCTGAGCGATGGAGAGAGGGTGTCTACACCCCTGAGCGGTGGAGAGAGGGTGTCTACACCCCTGAGCGATGAAGGGAGGGTGTCTACACCCCTGAGCGATGAAGGGAGGGTGTCTACACCCCTGAGCGATGGAGAGAGGGTGTCTACACCCCTGAGCGATGGAGGGAGGGTGTCTACACCCCTGAGCGATGAAGGGAGGGTGTCTACACCCCTGAGCGATGAAGGGAGGGTGTCTACACCCCTGAGCGATGGAGAGAGGGTGTCTACACCTGCTGAGCAATAGATAGAGGGTTCCACCCCCTAAGTGATGGAGATGGGGTGTCTGCACCCCTGAGCGATGGAGAGAGGGTGTCTACACCCCTGAGCGACGGAGGGAGGGCTCCACCCACTGAGCGATGGAGGGAGGGCTCCACCCCCTGAGCGATGGAGAGAGGGTTCCACTCCCTGAGCCCCACCTAATGTGTCGCAAACTTCAGGATGGGGCCCAGGGGACTGGCCAAGAGGGGTGTGCCTGTGAGGGGCTGGTCCACAGCCAGGGATCTGCAGTGAAACAGGACCAAGCCTACCACCCGAGGACGCAAGGGATGGCCTGAGGGCGGAGCATTCTGTGAGAATATATGGAAAGGGCTCTCCCCAAAACAGGACACAGGAGGTGACTTCCAGGGGTTGTTAGCATCTCTAAAGCTCTACCCTTGGGGGTCACGCTTTTGAGGAGCTGGACCAAGGCTGGGACTTTCCTCCCCACTTCCCTCCCTGAATGCTGACCACAAAACCCATGTGCTCAGTTCACAGACAATGGCCAGATCATCTTCCCAGAGTCAGACTACCAGATTTTCTCCTACCCCAACCCACTCCCAACAGGCTTCACAGGCCGGGACCCTGTGGCCCTGGTGGCTCCGTTCTGGGACGATGCTGACTTCTCCACTGGTCGGGGGACCACATTTTATCAGGTGAGCCTTTCAAAGCCTGGCAGTCAGGATCCCCCAGCAGCTGGCAGGGGAGACAAAGAGCTGTGTGGAAGGCTTTGCCAGAGTTGCTGCTGTGACAGCCCCTGCAGCAGGGGACTGAGGCTTAAATATGGGTGTGGGAGGAAGCAGTCAAGGGACATTAAGCTGACTCAGGAGTACCCCAACCCAACCACGAGACTGACCAGGAATACCCCAACCCAACCACGAGACTGACCAGGAATACCCCAACCCGGCCGCGAGACTGACCAGGAATACCCCAACCCAACCACGAGACTGACCAGGAATACCCCAACCCAACCACGAGACTGACCAGGAATACCCCAACCCAACCACGAGACTGACCAGGAATACCCCAACCCAACCACGAGACTGACCAGGAATACCCCAACCCAACCACGAGACTGACCAGGAATACACCAACCCAACCACGAGACTGACCAGGAATACCCCAACCCAACCACGAGACTGACCAGGAATACCCCAACCCGGCCGCGAGACTGACCAGGAATACCCCAACCCGGCCACGAGACTGACCAGGAATACCCCAACCCGGCCACGAGACTGACCAGGAATACCCCAACCCAACCACGAGACTGACCAGGAATACCCCAACCCAACCACGAGACTGACCAGGAATACCCCAACCCGGCCGCGAGACTGACCAGGAATACCCCAACCCGGCCACGAGAAGACCTACAGGTGACGGGGGATGGGGGCTGACAATTCAGCCTTTGATTGTAAAATCAGGCTGTAGGGGGTCTATCCTAACAAGAGTGAGTCAAGAGGGCCCGTCCTGTGCTCCTGGACTGGGTGAATAACTCCAATCAGAGGAAATGTGATGAAAGCTACTGCAGGAAGTGTGGACCGTGCCCCTGCCACGGACAGGGCAGTGTGGAGGCTCCAAGAGGAAGAGACTCACGCCTGTTCTCAAGAAGCTGCAGATTAGGCATGGGGAGGTAAAAGTGGGCCCGAGTGGCTCTGCTCTCTGGGCCAGTTTGAGCTAAGATGCTTGAGTTCAAGTCCAGAGGTCTTGGACGTCTGGGCCACGACCCTGCATTCTGCACACTGCAGGCCTTCCTGCAGCCCAAGTTTGAATTGAACTTCACCTCAGAAAAGCTCACGGCAAAAATGCAGGCCTGGGACAGGGGAGGGCAGGCCATTGGGTGGGCTGAAGTGGGCAGGGTCCTCAGGCAGAAAGTGGGGGGCCCATGTGTAGGAGTGGGACCCTCGTTGGCTTGTTTTCATCTGCCCTCCTTTCCTAGGAATACGAGACGTTCTATGGTGAACACAGCCTGCTAGTCCAGCAGGCCGAGTCTTGGATTAGAAAGATGACAAACAACGGGGGCTACAAGGCCAGGTGGGCCCTAAAGGTCACGTGGGTCAATGCCCACGCCTATCCTGCCCAGTGGACCCTCGGGGTGAGTAGACCCCTGGGCAGCTCCCAGGAGCTATCTGGGAGTCAGACATCCTAGAATCCTAGGCAGGGGCCACTCTTCCAAAATCCTCTCTGGCTCTAGGAAAGATTGCTAATTATAGCAAGCCCCCCCACCGCCACCCCCCCACTGCCACCACTGTTGGCTGAGCACTCACCGTGGGCCCGGCCTGTCTCGGCCCTTTGCCTACTTGACCTCACAGCAGCCCAGCAAACCGGGTATTATTAGGCTGAAACATAGCAAGTGGCATTTTTGTAAGTCAAAAATGTCTGGCTATTCACAATTTCACGTGGCTCAGTCTGGTATTATGCTCCCCATTTTACAGATGAGGAAGACAATGGTTAGAGAGGTTAAGTAACTCGTTCAGAGTCACGCCACTGGCAAATGGCAAAGCCAGGCCTGAGTGGAGCTTCTTCTGACTCCAGCCTCTGGCTCTGAAGCACAGGCTCATCCAACGGGCACAGGGTGCGCCACACCATCTCCTCTGTCCTCCCTCCGAGGACCCCGCTCTTGTAGTCACCAAGTTCTTCCTTATGCCTGGTCTAAAGTCACTCATTTCTTCATTCACTCGACAAAAGTTCACTGGTCACCTACTGTGGACAACGTGTGCGCCTTCAGTGAACCCCAGTGTCATCCATGCTGTTTAGATGGAGGAGACAATTTGGGCAATGTCCTTAAATATCCGCGCGGGAGCTAATGAAGCCTCCTCTCTAGCTCTCTGGTATCTTGGCTGATCTCAGGTTCTGGTAGCTTTCTCTAACAAACACTCATCTAACTGAATTGTAACCCAGAACCCTTTATCTCCCCTCCTGGAAGAAAGTCACCAAAAGGCAAATCCACCGTGGTAAGTGCGTTCGCACCCAGGGTGAAAGCTGCCCTCACTGACCCAAAACTTGCCAGCATTTTGGGCCCATGTCTTTGCTGTGGGCAGACCAGGAACAGGTGCTGTGCGTGTCAGAGCAGGGCTGTGGGACGGGCGGGGGGACATAAGAGAGGAGACCCCGGATCTCTCACGGGCATCCCTGTGTTTTCTTCCACCCACCCCCAGAGCAACACCTACCAAGCCATCCTCTCCACGGACGGGAGCAGGTCCTATGCCCTGTTTCTCTACCAGAGCGGTGGGATGCAGTGGGACGTGGCCCAGCGCTCAGGCAACCCGGTGCTCATGGGCTTCTCTAGGTAGGATGGGAGGGGCTGTCAGCACTGAGCAGTTGGCAGGGAGGGGTGTAGAGTCGGCTTTCGCTGCACACACACTCCCATCCTGGGGCAAGGCGGGAACCCTCCTGGCTGGTGCTTCTGACTCACGCTGACTCCAGCTCCCGCTGGGGCCAGGCATCTGGCTGCTTCCCACGACAAGATCACCCATTTGTCCGCCATGCCCTTTCCCATCCCAGTCCCCGTGAGTTGTAATCATTCCCAGAGCTTTGGCTTCCCTGATTTCCACTGACATTAGCTGGCCTCTCTTACCTTCTCAAATATCGTGATAATAACAGCCAAGACTGATGACACTAACACTTCGTGTACATTACTGCATGTCATGATCACAGCCACCCCACGAGGCAGATACTATTTATCATCCCCATTCTACAGATCAGGAAACTGAGATACAAATAGACTAGCAATTTGCCTAAAGTCCCAGAGCTGGGAAGTGGCAACATGGAGATTTGAACCCAGACATCTGAGGCTAGAATCTGCCTTCCTGACTTCCTGAGAATTACCCACTTATCCAGGGGGCACCCAAAAGCTTATATGGAGCCGGTGGTGAAGGGAGAGAGGAGGCACGGGGCTGTGGGCGGTTGAAATGTGGATTCCCGTGTGTGGGAGGCTGTCTCCGATGTAGCAGTGCGCCATCTCTGTTCCCATATGCTGGGGTGTGGCAATCAGTACGAAGGCCACATGTCTTTTGTTCTTGATAATTGCTGCAAATGTCTTCTCTTACATTGAGTGTGTTCAGGTTACCCCTTTGATTACACTGCTTTCACTAGTTTCTTGGTGTGCTATGAAGGAGAAAGGAGGGGAATTACCCAACTCTAGGAATTTCACACGGTCCAGGTACACCCAAGGAAGGTGTCACGCAGGGGTGCATCATCCTGCTTGTGTCAGGGAGGAGGAAAAGCCCAAGAGTCCCCACTCTGCAGCAGGCACCCAGGGTGGGGCTGCAGGCGGCTGCTCCAGGCTTTCCTCCTTCCCGGGCCATGCTCGGACCCCACACCTGGGGACGGTGATGGCGATAGTGGTGGTGGTGGTGGTGGTGGTGGTGGTAGTGGCGGTGGAGGTGGCAGTGGCGATGGTGATGGTGGTGATGGTGGTGGTGATGGTGGTGATGGTGGTGGTGTTGGGGGTGATGGTGGCGATGGTGGTGGTGGTGATGGTGGTGGTGGTGGTGATGGTGGTGATGATGGTGGTGGCAATGATGGTGGTGATGGTGGTGGTGGTGGTGATGGTGGTGGTGGCGATGGTGATGGTGGTGGTGATGGTGGTGGTGGCCGATGGTGGTATTTTTTGGGGGGTGGCCAGTGATGGTGGTGATGGTGATGGTGGTGGTGGTGGTGGTGGCGATGGTGGTGGTGATGGTGGTGATGGTGGTGGCAATGGTGATGATGGTGGTGGTGGTGATGGTGGTGGTGATGGTGGTGGCAATGGTAATGGTGATGGTGATGATGGTGGTGGCGATGGTGGTGGTGATGGTGATGGTGGTGGTGATGGTGATGGTGGTGGTGATGGTGATGGTGGTGGTAGTGTTGGTGGTGGTGGTGGTGATGGTGATGGTGATGGTAGTGTTGGTGGTGACGATGATGGTGGTGGTGGTGGTAGTGCTGGCGATGGTGGTGGTGGTGGTAGCAGCAGTGGCAGCATCTGTTGTATCAAGGCCTCACTCAGTTCTGAGGGATTTGCAGATGTTACTGCATTTAATCCTCACAATACAGTGAGGTAGATGCCACTGTAATCCCTTTTATACAGATGTGAAAACTAAGAATCAGAGAGGGTCAGTAACTTGTCTGTGGTCACCAAGCTAGTAAGTGGGGGGATCAGCAGTTGAATCCATCACTGCCTAACTCCAGAAACTGGGTCTTAACCATCACAATACACTGTCCCTAGAGTCTGTCCCGCTCCAAACCCTCTGCTTGTTGAAGGGAAACAAACAGAAATGAGGCCTGAACTCTGTTGTTTTCACGCCCCTGTCTCATGACCAAGCGGACCTGCCAGTTTCTTGCAGCTAGCGATCAGATGTGGAATCGGTTAGAGCCTCCTACCTCTGCCCAGCCATCTTGTCCCCTCTCCTGCTCAGTGCTGGGGCTTGACGATGGGGGCTGGCTGACCCACTGACCCACTGCCCGCCTAGCTGGTTGACCAGCTGCTGACCGGCTAGCGGGATGAATGGACGCCTTGCAACCGCGAGGCAAGAGCCTGTGCACGGCAGAGGCCTGAGAGTCTCTCCTTTCCTGCAGTGGAGATGGCTATTTCGAAAACAGCCCACTGATGTCCCAGCCAGTGTGGGAGAGGTATCGCCCTGATAGATTCCTGAATTCCAACTCAGGTAAAAGTGCCACCTTATCACACCTGAGCTGGTCTCAAGCCCTCGCGTGTCCTCCAGCCCATACACCATCGCAGTCCTAGAGGGCACCTCCCTAACATCACGGCCATCCTGAAGGGCCTCCCCCACACAGTTCAACCTCCTACAGGTCTAGGTGGGATGTGGCACCACCCAGGGAGCAGCTGGCACCTCCTGCACCCCTGGACACAGCACAGTCTCAGAGGGGGCTACATCTCCTCCCTCAGATGAACCAGCCCAAGAGGGCTCTCGGGGGGCCCAGATCCTGGAAGTGAGGACAGGGTCTTGTGGGAGGTGGGATTTGAATGGGCAGTTCAGACAATACTCCAAGTGTCCTGTCCAGAGCAGGAATGAGAACCCAGGTGAGATCCTTTAAGAAAATCTACCGGCTGGGCGCCATGGCTCACACCTGTAATCCCAGCATTTTGGGAGGCTGAGGTGGGCGGATCACTTGAGATCAGGAGTTCGAGACCAGCCTGGCCAACATGGTGAAATTCTGTCTCTACTAAAAATACAAAAATTAGCCAGACGTTGTGGTGCACACCTGTAATTCCAGCTACTCAATAGGTTGAGGCAGGAGAATTGTTTGAACCTGGGAGGTGGAGGTTGCAGCGAGCCGAGATCGCGCCACTGCACTCCAGCCTGGGTGACAGAGTGAGACTCCATCTCAAAAAGAGAGAATCCACCAAGAAGAGGCCCGGGGGTCTCACGTTCATTGTCATCATTTACTGGGCACCTGCCGTGTGCTGGACACCGTGCTAACAGCCAGAAACAAAGGAAAAAGACCAACTGTGTTTTCTCTCAAAGAGCTTTCATGCGGGTAGAAAGACAAGCGTCAAGAGGCAAACAATGGCGCCTTCTCCATGACTCAGTCCAGAGGCCCCAATGGGAAAGAAATAATAGTTTCCAAAATGTGATAGGTTGAAGGACATTTTAGCCTTAGAAACCAGCCACGTGAACTGTGAAGTGTAAATCCAGTTCTATTTGTTCTGTGGCAACCACGTTTGGTCGTCAGAAGCAGACGCTAAGTCAAGCGAGGGGCTTTGGGGGAGGAATTGTTGCCCATCTGACTTGGGTCCAAAGAGGTGAGAAGTGGCAGGAGGGGGTGCATTTGTGAGTTTTGGTTGACCCTAAAGCTGAGACAGGGCCTGCAGCCCCAGCCCTGGATAAGCCCTTTCCCCCCCATCCCCGACCTCAGGCCTCCAAGGGCTGCAGTTCTACAGGCTACACCGGGAAGAAAGGCCCAACTACCGTCTCGAGTGCCTGCAGTGGCTGAAGAGCCAGCCTCGGTGGCCCAGCTGGGGCTGGAACCAGGTCTCCTGCCCTTGTTCCTGGCAGCAGGGACGACGGGACTTACGATTCCAACCCGTCAGCATAGGTGACACCTCCTTCCCGCCCCCCACAAGCCCACCCACCACCCTCTCTGCTCACGCCCTCAGCCTCTCCCCAGAAACAGCCCCTGCTTGTTCCCACCCCGCCCCTGGCAGCCCCAGCCTGGGCCTGAGTGGGACTGGACTTGTTTCAGGTCGCTGGGGCCTCGGCAGTAGGCAGCTGTGCAGCTTCACCTCTTGGCGAGGAGGCGTGTGCTGCAGCTACGGGCCCTGGGGAGAGTTTCGTGAAGGCTGGCACGTGCAGCGTCCTTGGCAGTTGGGTGCGTGAGTCCGTGATCTCAACCCCACCTTCCCGGCCAAGTAGGGGACCCTCAGCATGAAGCCTCTCGTCCTCATTCCTTCCCAGACCCTTCCCCTCTCTGGGCCTCCACTTCCTGATCGGGTAACGTTAGGAAGCTTCCAACATCCCCACCAGCGGACATTCGGGGATGTATGAGCTGAGAGCCTCTTTCCTCATCTCTATACCTGGCTCCACATCCCCAGGCCAGAGTGGGGCCATTTCTCCAGGCAAGAAGAGAGCGCCTAGGCTGACCCCGTCCCTGTAGACCCAGATGAGCAGGATGTTTGGGGGAAGACTGAGAGTCAGCTCCCACAGAGACGCTCCAAGGGAGCTGGAGAGCGCAGGGGTGTGGGGTCACGTGGTCTGTGTCCTCCCGTTCTCTCCCCCGTCCCATGGCAGTTTCCACAGTTCCCAGACCGTCAGCCGTGCCCTCCCCACTCCCAGCACGTTGAGAGCAGCAGTACTTGGCTCTCCACCCTCAAGACAGGAAATTTGCTTAGCTCCTACCATGCGCCCTGCTGCACAGTGGCCCCAATGCCTGCAAAAGAGACAGCACCCTATTCACTGCCCAAGGTCATGAGAAGGGCCATGCTGGATTCCAAAGCCATGCTCTTGCCACCAACACCGCCCTGCCCTACCAAGCTCTCCACCAACACCGCCCTGCCCTGCCAAGCTCTCCACCAACACCGCCCTGCCCTGCCAAGCTCTCCACCAACACCGCCCTGCCCTGCCAAGCTCTCAACCAACACCACCCTGCCCTGCCAAGCTTCTCCAGGTCCTCAACCTCCCCGACTCACTGCTGTTCTCCGCAGCCCAGGAACTGGAGCCACAGAGCTGGTGCTGCCGCTGGAATGACAAGCCCTACCTCTGTGCCCTGTACCAGCAGAGGCGGCCCCACGTGGGCTGTGCTACATACAGGCCCCCACAGCCCGGTGAGCGACAGGGCCCAGGCCCAGGAAGAGCCTCTGGGGAGGGGGAGCTTCTGGGCTTCCGGGAGGTGGCATCTGGATAAGGAGTAGGGGCAGAGCTGTGGCCACAAGGGAAGATGGAGATGACGCCAGTGATGGGTGGATGGTCAGTGGAGGGGCTTTGTACCTGAGTTGGGGAAGGAGTGAGAATAGCGGGGCACGAAAATGCAAGGAGGCTTGAGGGGAGGATTCTGTGCTCTGTGAACATCTCCCCAGCTGAGTCCGCCCGGACAAGTGCCCCAGTCGACTGCAGTGAGGAACCTCACCCTGAGTCCTCCTGGACAAGTGCCGCACCTGACTGCAGTGAGGAACCTCAGCCCTACACATGATTTGTCATGCTGAGGCAGCATCTCTTTTTTCCTTCCAGCCTGGATGTTCGGGGACCCCCACATCACCACCTTGGATGGTGTCAGTTACACCTTCAATGGGCTGGGGGACTTCCTGCTGGTCGGGGCCCAAGACGGGAACTCCTCCTTCCTGCTTCAGGGCCGCACCGCCCAGACTGGCTCAGCCCAGGCCACCAACTTCATCGCCTTTGCGGCTCAGTACCGCTCCAGCAGCCTGGGCCCCGTCACGGTGAGTGAGGGGTGCCGGGAACCTCCCTGCATTCCACCCACAGGGACCTTCAGCCACATACTGAGGCCGAGGAGAAGGAAGAGAGCGAAGGAGGGGAAGCCGGGCAGGAGGGAGGGAGGACACAGCCCATCCACGCAGCTGTCCCGGAGTAAATCCTGGGGATGGTGGATTAGGGCTCTGGCCCCACGGTTTCCCAGCTGCTTGGCTTCGAAGAAACTACTTAATTTGGTTTTCTCCTAGTAAGAATGGGGATGACATTACCTGCCTCACGGGCTGTTGTAAGAGCTAAAGGGCATAATCCGAAAACCATGCCTGGCCCTGCCGAGCACACGGTAGACGGCGGCTGGCATCACCTCAGGCCGCGGCCTCCAGCGCCTTCCTCCCGGCCCAGGGCGCAGCTTCCAGCCCCAGGGGCTCTCCCAGCTGCTTTCCTGGGCGTCGGCTCCACCTGCGGGTCGGGCTCAGGCCCCCTCCCATCTCCTTCCAGGTCCAATGGCTCCTTGAGCCTCACGACGCAATCCGTGTCCTGCTGGATAACCAGACTGTGACATTTCAGCCTGACCATGAAGACGGCGGAGGTAGGTTGGGGAGCGCCGGCCGCCCCCTCCCCGCACCGGGAGCAGCGAGGTGGGCGGGAAGCCGCGTTGCGGTGCAGGGCCGGGCGCGTGGCGGTGCAGGGCCGGGTGCGTTGTGGTGCAGGGCCGGGCGCGTGGCGGTGCCGCGCCGAGTGCTTTGCGGTGCAGGGCCGGGTGCGTTGTGGTGCAGGGCCCGGTGCGTGGCGGTGCAGGGCCCGGTGCGTGGCGGTGCAGGGCCGGGTGCGTGGCGGTGCAGGGCCGGGTGCGTGGCGGTGCAGGGCCCGGTGCGTTGCGGTGCAGGGCCGGGTGCGTTGCGGTGCAGGGCCCGGTGCGTGGCGGTGCAGGGCCGAGTGCGTTGTGGTGCCGGGCCCGGTGCGTGGCGGTGCAGGGCCCGGTGCGTGGCGGTGCAGGGCCAAGAGAGCGCAGCCTCTACCCCCGAGCGGGGCGTGCAGCTCGCCGGCCTCTTCTCCGCCTCCAGTGCAGACCCCTCCCGGCTTCAGCCCCAGGGGCGGGGTGGGGGTGGTGCGGGCCCGGCAGGGCGCGGGTTTGGTGCGGGCCGTGGTGCCGACCTGGCTTCCTCTCCGCTGCCTCCCGATGCTCCAGGCCAGGAGACGTTCAACGCCACCGGAGTCCTCCTGAGCCGCAACGGCTCTGAGGTCTCGGCCAGCTTCGACGGCTGGGCCACCGTCTCGGTGATCGCGCTCTCCAACATCCTCCACGCCTCCGCCAGCCTCCCGCCCGAGTACCAGAACCGCACGGAGGGGCTCCTGGGTGAGGGCGGCTCGGACCTGCCTCTGAGGCTCCGCGGAGCCAGCCGGAGCTCGGACCCCCACGCCGGCGGCCCGGGCAGCCCTGCTCGGCCTCCCTTTCTCCGCCTCCTTGGAGCAGAACCCTTGGGGCACAGAGCGGGCCGGGAGCCGAGGGGCTTCTCCAGCCTCCCCCGAGGCTCCCTTCCTGTCCTCCGCCCGCTCTAAGGGAGCATCAGGGGGGGCTGCGGGGAGGCGGGGGGCACAGCCATCCTTTCTCCCTTTCCTCTTGCCTCCCACATCCTCCCGCCCTCCTCCACCGCTGCCCGCGTTTCCTCCCGCCCCTCCCGAAGGCAGACGGGCAGGGTGTGAGGGCCCGTCCTCCCGGCTCCCCTGGAGGCCTGACAGCAGGTGCAAGAGCAGAGGCTGCCAGGCCCTGGCCTCTCCCCACTGCGTCCGCCGGATGCTCCCCAGGAAGGGGACAGCCGCGTGCCCAGGGTGGCCAACCTCCCACTCTGTCCCTCAGGGGTCTGGAATAACAATCCAGAGGACGACTTCAGGATGCCCAATGGCTCCACCATTCCCCCAGGGAGCCCTGAGGAGATGCTTTTCCACTTTGGAATGACCTGTGAGTCTGGGCAGGGTCCTGGGGCAGAGGGGCAGGTGAGGGGAGCCGGTATGTTTATGTCGTCCCCCTCGGCCCTGTAGGAAGCAGACCTCCATCCTCCCTAAGGTCTGAGGAATCTGTGCCCCCCCAGGGCTGTCCCCACCACCACCAGCCCACCTGCCTCTCTCTACCTGGAGGAGAGAATGGGGGACGTGGAGTGTCCTCTCTCACTGCAGCAGGTGTTTCTAGACTCAGAAGCTGGAAACCGCTCTGGCCCTGCACTCCCACCGCCCCGCTCCAAGCCATCTAAAGTGAGGGGTAGAGGTGGACACAGATGGAATAAGGCTGAGTGCCATGCCTGGTACCACCGCGCTCTGTGTGTTACAGGGCAGATCAACGGGACAGGCCTCCTTGGCAAGAGGAATGACCAGCTGCCTTCCAACTTCACCCCTGTTTTCTACTCACAACTGCAAAAAAACAGCTCCTGGGCTGAACATTTGATCTCCAACTGTGACGGAGATAGCTCATGCATCTATGACACCCTGGCCCTGCGCAACGCAAGCATCGGACTTCACACGAGGGAAGTCAGTAAAAACTACGAGCAGGCGAACGCCACCCTCAGTAAGTGGCCCGAGGCCTGGGGAGGCCTTTTCAGAGTCGGGAGCAGATGAGGAGCTGCCCTTGCCTGACCCTGCTTTTCCCTGTGCATCTGCATTCACTGAGCAGATTCTTCCACTCCTGGCATTCCTCTGCTCAAACCCTTCAGAGACTTCCCTGGCTCTCTCCATCCTTGCAGTGGCCTTCGGCCCAGTTCAGCTTCTCAGAGCTCTTCTCCTAGTGCTGGACGCCTTCCCAGCCCCCTCCGTCCATCCTAGCGCTGGATGCCTTCCCAGCCCCCTTCACTCCATACTAGCGCTGGACGCCTTCCCAGCCCCCTCCACTCCATCCTAGCGCTGGACCCCTTCCCAGCCCCCTCCATCCATCCTAGCGCTGGATGCCTTCCCAGCCCCCTCCACTCCATCCTAGCGCTGGACCCCTTCCCAGCTCCCTGCACTCCAGCCCCGCAGGCTCCTCTGTGTTCTTCAAACACGCTAGGTGCGCTCAGCTCCCAGGCTTCACACGTGCTGTTCTCTTGCCTGGAATACCCTTCCTTCCCTGGACAGCCACACGCTTGCCCCTCACCTTCTTTACGTCTTCATTCCAATGTCCCCTCCTTGGTGAGGCCTCTCTTGGCCGCCCTGTCTAAAATGTCACATTCACCCACACTTCATGTTTGCCTTCCCTGCTTTATTTTTTTCTCCTTAGCATTTATAATTACTCAACATATTTTATAATTTTCACAGGTATCTTTTTAATTATTCATTCATGACTGTATCCTCACCACCCAGAACAGTGCCAGCCACTTAGCTCAATAAATGTTTGTTAAATGACTGACTGAATGAATGTGTGAAGCAACTATGAAATGGAAATGGCAGGGCTCCGAGAAACAGACCCGTGAAGAGGTTTCACTCCCTCTCTATTTCTGGACAAATGCAATGTCCCTTTAGATGTGACCCTCCAGGTTTTGTGCGTGTGTGTGTGTGTGTTGACGGAGTTTCGCTCTTGTTGCCCAGGCTGGAGTGCAGTGACGTGATCTCGGCTCGTCGCAACCTCTGCTTCCCGGGTTCAAGCGATTCTTCTGTTTCAGCCTCCTGAATAGCTGAGATTACAGGCACCCGCCACCATGCCTGACTAATTTTGTATTTTTAGTAGAGACAGGGTTTCACCATGTTGGTCAGGCTGGTCGCGAACTCCTGACCTCAGGTTATCCACCGGCCTCGGCCTCCCAAAGTGCTGGGATTACAGACATGAGACACCCAGCACCCTTCAGGTTTTCAGCCCTTTGCCAAAGGTACAACCCTTTGGTCTAAGGGTACAACCCTTTGTAATGGTCCAAACAAATCTGCTCTCTAATTCACTTTTTGTCATACCCAGCATAGCACTGTGTTCAGGAAAGAATCTGAAAGGAGCTCTTTTTGAGGAGGTGGGGGGAGAGAAAGAGGCTAAAGATTTGGCTAGGTGGGCAGTACAGTCCCAGCCTGCTGTGCGTCAGTCGAGAGCAGGTACACAGAATAATTCCTTCTTCCAGAGGTGGGTCACAGTCCTGGGAATGCCTCACACATATTAGAGTTGAGAAAGAGAGGAGGCTGATAAAGCAGGAGACTGTCCTGCCTCGGAACCCCCATTCCCTCTTTGTGTTTCAGATCAGTACCCGCCCTCCATCAATGGTGGTCGTGTGATTGAAGCCTACAAGGGGCAGACCACGCTGATTCAGTACACCAGCAATGCTGAGGATGCCAACTTCACGCTCAGAGACAGCTGCACCGACTTGGAGCTCTTTGGTAGGACTATTTGGCTGGCTGGGGAGAGTGGGGAGGTGGGTAGGGGATGAGGTCAGAGTCAAATTTGGGAAATTCTGCATTGCTACACCCAGCAACACTTGCTGTCACTCTTTCATTTGAATATCCAGGACCGGCATTTCCGAGGAGCGATATCTATAACTCAAATAGGTGCCCCCCAGTAAGTAGTAGTGACGGGCTTACGGCGGTTTGGCCAGATAGCTAGAGTGACTCTGGGCACATAGAACTGATTCAAGGCTGGGCGCGGTGGCTCATGCCTGTCATCCCAGCGCTTTGGGAGGCCGAGGTGGGCGGATCATCTGAGGTCAGGAGTTCGAGACCAGTCTGGCCAACATGGTGAAACCCCGTCTGTACTAAAAATACAAAAAAAAAAAAAAAAGCCAGGCATGGTGGTGCATGCCTGTAATCCCAGCTACTCAGGAGACTGAGGCAGGAGAATCGCTTGAACCCAGGAGGCAGATGTTGCAGTGAGCTGAGATCGCGTCACTGCACTCCAGCCTGGTGACAGAGCGAGACTCTGTCTCAAAAAAAAGATTTGAAGATCATTTAATCTCAATCTGATCATATATAGTCATCTTTAGTCATTATGCATTCACCAAATTATTAGAATAATCAAGTGCAACATTTAAAATGACCAATTTACAACATTTTTATATCTATTAAAGGAAGGCTCTAATGTAGGACAAGATTTAAAGAAATATGAAAAATACTTTCGTTTGGTACCTTTCTTGCTCTTTTTGTCTGGCAACCATGTTTACCTAGCCGTGTCTCTCCTTGTCTGGTTTCCTGGGCTAGGACCCAGTAGAGTGCCATCGCTCCCTCTCCGTAAAGGTGTTAGAGACCCCGAGCCCTACATCCATGATCAGGGCCAAAGGCTCCAAGCACAAGGGACGCTGCTTTCGTCTGTTGCCAGCACTAATTCAAAGGGTCCAAGGGCATCAAAGGGATGCCACTTTCTGTCTGTTGCCAGCACTAATTCTGAGGGTGACTGTTCTTGGCTAAACCAAAGCCCCGGGGGGCATATTTTGCGTTCTCTTTGCCTCTCTGCCTGATGTTCTTTCTCTCTGTGTCTCAGAAGGGACTGCTTTGCCTGCATCCCTTTTGCCCCATGTGCGTCCTCCCAGGTGCGAGACAATGGCACTGAGAGGTTTTCTTCTCCACGGGCCCCACCCCTGAAGGACGATGGTCTGGAAATTACGTTCGTCTATTCTCTGTCACTTCCTTTCAATCTGCTGTTTTAAGGAGACTTTCCTATTTTCTTGAAAAATATCAGTTTGATCTGAAGATATGTAGTAGTGTTTCACTACAGTCTGGTGTCTGAAGGGGGTGTCTGGGAAAGGTCCAGGAAGTGGGGGGTGGGTGAGAAATCAGGGCAAAGGATGGGGCTGCCGTGAGAGTGAAGCCAGTTTGGCCGGCAGCGCAGCCTGGGGAGGTGTCTGGAGGATCCTGGCCTTGATCCTCCATCCCCCAGGATGTCCCATCCTGGTGTGAGCCCAGCCAGGGCTGCCCTTTGGGGTTTCTTCAGGAGGAAACTGCTTTCCCCTCTGTGGCGTTCCCCGCTACAATCAGTATGTTGGACTGGTGCCACGTCCTTCCAGCTGGGAGCGTGACCAGGATCACCCCCGATACCAGCCTTGCTCAAAGGAAATGACCAATGAGATTTGTCTGGGGAGGGGGAGGGTGGCCTGAGAGGGGTGGGGGAAGCCCCGTATCAGCAATCAGACCACAGAGCCGAGGAGTCTCCCAGCTCTCAACATTCTCATCTTCCCCGGGGCAGAGAATGGGACGTTGCTGTGGACACCCAAGTCGCTGGAGCCATTCACTCTGGAGATTCTAGCAAGAAGTGCCAAGATTGGCTTGGCATCTGCACTCCAGCCCAGGACTGTGGTCTGCCATTGCAATGCAGAGAGCCAGTGTTTGTACAATCAGACCAGCAGGGTGGGCAACTCCTCCCTGGAGGTGAGTGTTGGGAGGTGGGGGAGGAGTTTCTGTGCCGAGGGGAGAGGAAATGGGAGTGGAATGGATGCTGTGATTCTGCCTGTCCTGGGTGTGTCTGTGTTGGGAGATGGGTGGAGCAGTGGTAGGTGAGTAGAGCAGATTCCAGTCTCAGGCCACAAACTCACATGGGAAGAAAGAGAACTTTCTGGCCGGGTGCAGTGGCTCACGCCTTTAATCTCAGCACTTTTGGAGGCTGAGGCAAGCGGATCACAAGGTCAGGAGATCGAGACCATCCTGACCAACATGGTGAAACCCCATCTCTACTAAAAATACAAAAATTAGCTGGGCGTGGTGGCAGGCGCCTGTAGTCCCAGCTACTCGGGAGGCTGCGGCAGGAAAATCGCTTGCACCCGGGAGGTGGAGGTTACAGTGAGCCAAGATTGCGCCATTGTACTCCAGCCTGGGCAACAGAGTGAGACTCTATGTCAAAAAGAAAGAAAAGAAAAGAAAAGAAAAGAAAAGAAAGAAAGAAGGAGGGAAAGAAAGGAAAGGAAAGAAAGGAAAGGAAAGAAAGGGAAAGGAGAAAAAGAAAGAAAGAAAGAAACTATATTGGAGAAAAAGAAGGACGAAAGAAAGAAAAAGGAAGGAAGGAAGGAAAGAGGAAAGAACCTTACTTTATTGCTTATAGTTCAACTGGATTTTTATCTCCCACCTCCCCTTCTGCCAGGTTGGCAGGAAACTTCCACCTCCGTCTTTCTCACAGCGCCCCACAGCTCTGCGGCGAAGCCCAGCAGAGGGCCCTGCGGTGTGGGGTGGAAGGTGGTTGTGGGTCCCTGGGCGTGAGTCCACACAGGTTTCCATCACAGCTCCGCCCCACTTCCCCTTCAGACCCAGGGAGAGGCTCTGCTGCTTCTGTGCCTTGCTCAGACACAGGACACCTTTTCTGAGGCCGCTTACAGTCCTGTCTGCCTAGAAGCACCCCACAGTCATTTCTCCCTAGGATGTCATCATCACGGTGCTGGGAAGAGAGCTGCGGGTCCCTCTATCTTGACACCTCCAAGCCCCTTTGCTTTCTCTTTTACTATCTCCTTCCAGCTAAAAGAAACATCTTTTCCAGTTTGGAGAAACTACTTCTCCATGTTTCTAGCCAAGATACTTGGCCTAATTCCACGACTCTTGTCCTATCTGCTTTTTTATTTTTATTTTTGGTTGTAAAGGAAGAGCCAGAAAGGAAAGTGTTTATCTGGCAACACAAAACTACCTCCTTCACCACTTACACACACACGCATGCACACGCACACACAGACACACACACACATCCTTCTGAAGCATGAGCAGAGAATGGGTACTCGAAAGGGATAGAGGTAGGGACGGTTGGTGGGGTAGGGGGTAGAAAAGCATAAAATACACAATGGGAAAAAGAGATTGAAATCAATATACTATTCCACAGATCCCCAAATATCCACTCTTGGGAGTAGCAAGTGTTAGAGGATTCCATTTTAGGGAGATTCCCCGAGTCGCTTCAGTAAGGGAGTTAGAAAGGGGAGCGCAGGGAGCTTGGTGAGGTCTCGGCGCCGCAGCCTTTGCTGAGCTGCTGTACTGGCTGCTGTGTTTTCTCACAGTGCTCAGCAGGGAGGCTCTGTCTTCTTGGTTTGGGAGTCAGCAAGGGAGGTCAATTTCAGCTTATATGAAATCCAGTTTGCAGGCCACATAGGAGCCTGAGGCAGGCGGATTGCTTGAGCTCAGGACTTTGAGACCAGCCTGGGCAATATGGCAAGACCCTGTCTCTACTAAAAATCAAAAAATTAGCTGGGCGTGGTGGCATATGCCTGTAATCTCAAGTATTTGGGAGGCTGAGGCACAAGAATTGCTTTAACTTGGGAGGGGGACATTGCAGTGAGCCGAGATCGAGACACTGCACTGCAGCGTGGGAAACAGAACGAGACTGTCTCATTAAAAAAAAAAGCAGAAGAAAAATACAAAAATTAGTGGGCGTGGTGGTGCATGCCTGTAGCCCCAGCTCCTCGGGAGGCTGAGGTGGGAGGATGGCTTGAACCTGGGAGGTGGAGTTTGCAGTGAGCCAAGATCAAGACATTGCACTCCAGCCTGGGCAACCGAGTGGGACCCTGTCTCAAAATAAATAAGGAATCCAGTTTTCAAGCAATAGGACATACATGGATACATACACACATGGATACATACACACATGGATACACACATATGGATACATACATGGATACATGCATACATGCATGACACACACATACATACATGGATACATACATGGATACATACATTGATACATATCTACATGGATACATACATGATACATACACACATGGATACACACATGGATACATACATGCATACATGCATGGATACACACATACATACATGGATACATACATACATGGATACATACATCTATACATGGATACATTCATTCATTCATTCATGCTTCAATCATTCATGCATCCCCCATCTTACTCTAGAAAGGATTTCAGGCAAAGAGCTAGAGTGTGAGAGGGAAGAGGCTGAGATCCTGGTGCAGGGCCAGGCAGGGGGTCAGGGTAAACAATGACCCAGGGAGGCCAGCTGGGCAGGACTACCGTGTGGCTTTAGGCAGGGCCTTGCCGCCCCACGGCCTGGTCAAGAAGGTGCTCAGCAGGTGCTGGTGGGGCTGAGACATGACTCAGGGTCCACGGGTTCTCAGGCCAAAGGGGTCAGTCAGAAACACCCAGAAGCCCTTCCCAGTTTGGTCTCCTGGCCGCCCGTGATCGGCAACCCTCCTCCAGGTGGCTGGCTGCAAGTGTGACGGGGGCACCTTCGGCCGCTACTGCGAGGGCTCCGAGGATGCCTGTGAGGAGCCGTGCTTCCCGAGTGTCCACTGCGTTCCTGGGAAGGGCTGCGAGGCCTGCCCTCCAAACCTGACTGGGGATGGGCGGCACTGTGCGGGTGAGCCGGGAACAGGGCCTGGAGCAGGCGCTTCTGGGAGCAGCTGATAGCTCAAGGGTGTAGACAGCCAAAGGCAAACCATTTCTCTCCTTTTTCCAGCAGATCTTTAGAATGCTCAATCTAGGCAGGTGTGGGAAATCTAGGCAGGTGTGGGAAATCATCTAGGCAGGTATGGGAAATCTAGGCAGGCCTGGAAAGGGGGTGGTGGATGGTGTGGGGCTGAAGGAGAAGAGGTTGTACAGGCATAGGGGAGGGGACGGGGCTGGGCATCCCTGAGGCATTGATGGGGGGAGCCCCGGGCGAAAGACTGAAGATGGTTTGGGGAGGAGACTTCAGCAGCCGCCAGAGAACCGGGCAAGCTGGGTCCTCGGGATCCCTGGGGATCTTCAGAGACACGAGGCTCAGGATCTCTGCATCTCACGAGTCAGGACGTTTGGAGGGGCTGGCGTGGGGATCCGGCAGCAAAGGTGCCTGATTTTCCCTTTGAGTCCTCCCAGCCATCTGTTCCTCCCGCTCTGAGTCACCAGAGTCTGATGAGGGAGATCACAGCGAGGCCTTTACCAAGCCCCCTAAGGCACCCAAATAAAATCTACAGATCACTGTGCCTTCAGAGCCGAGGCCAGAGTGGGTAGAACCGCAGCTTTTATAAAGGCAGAAAAGGAGATGGACGTGAGAGGGGAGGGCGTGAGGAAAGCCAGCTGGGGGCCCCTCCTCTGCCAGCCTTCGGGGTCCTTTCTGAAGCAGAGGGTCTGAGAAACACTCCAGTCCCTCCACAAAAGTGGAAGAATACCTGTCTGGCCGGGGAAAGGGGTTGCCCTGCAGAGAAACGCCTGGAAAAGGGGGGAAGGATGGTTTGGGGTTCCGAGTGGCCCGAAGTGGAACACTGGGGGAAAGCAAGCCTGTCCCGGAGCGGGTTTCCACGGGCTGGGCCGTCCCTCTGCTGCCCTGCGCGCTGCTGCTGACCTCCCTACTCACTCTGCAGCTCTGGGGAGCTCTTTCCTGTGTCAGAACCAGTCCTGCCCTGTGAATTACTGCTACAATCAAGGCCACTGCTACATCTCCCAGACTCTGGGCTGTCAGCCCATGTGCACCTGCCCCCCAGCCTTCACTGACAGCCGCTGCTTCCTGGCTGGGAACAACTTCAGTCCAACTGTCAACCTAGGTACCGCCAGAGACCCCGCCCTCTCACCCCCGCACTCTTCCTGGGCCCCACCCTCTCACCCCCGCACTCCGCCCACCTTTGGGGAAGATGAGGAAGCTCTGGGGTCACAGGACAGAGCTCCAGATTTCTCTGGGATGGTGTAAGGTGCGGGCTATGGGAGCTGGCGAGGCAAGCTGTCACGGCAAGGACCACGGGCCTGTGTGGCCTATGGAGGAAGGACGGAGGCAGAGACCTCACAGCTGGCTCAGTGAGATGAGCGCTGGGGAGGCCCGGAGCATAGTGGAGTGAGCCCTAGCGTGAGGGCCACTTCTCCCGGTTTCTTCAGCAACCTTCTGTCACTGTGGAATGTAGGGTGAGGGCCACTTCTCCCGGTTTGCTCAGCGACCTTCTGTCACTGTGGAATGTAGGGTGAGGGCCACTTCTCCCGGTTTCTTCAGCGACCTTCTGTCACTGTGGAATGTAGGGTGAGGGCCACTTCTCCCGGTTTCTTCAGTGACCTTCTGTCACTGGAATGGAGCAGTCAACTTGGGCTGGCCCGACAGACTTTTTGGGTAAGTCTGGGTAAACCGTGGGGTGATGATACATTTGCTTCTCCCATCTCCAGAACTTCCCTTAAGAGTCATCCAGCTCTTGCTCAGTGAAGAGGAAAATGCCTCCATGGCAGAAGTCAACGCCTCGGTCAGTGCTGCAGGCCGCGCTCTGGGTGGGAGGGGGCGCTTGGCGGGTTCAGGCCAGGGCGGAACCATCGCTGTGCGGCCTTCATCTTGTCATCCATCTGGATTCAACTGCCAGAGGAGGCCGGAGCCTCTTGCCCCATGGGAGGTGCAGGGCATTAGGAAGTGAGGAAGGCCCAAGACAGAAACCTCGACTCATCATAAGCAGAGGCCAGGGTGCCAAGTCACCCCAGCCGAGACCTCTAAGCATCTTGGTTATGATCTGAAAGAAACTAAAGGACATTTCACCTCCCGGGAGTCTTCCCTGACTTCCCAGAGGGAACGGGCGGCTCCCTCTTCTTGGCTGCCATGCCATACCTCAGTCACAGGCAAAGTGGCACAACTGCTGAGTGGTTGGGGCTGTAGAATCCTGCACACCCAGAATCAGAATCCCTGCTCTGCCCCTCACTAGAGCAGGTGTGCTAACTAGACACATCATATAACAGGTCATCTGTAAACACAGGGACAATCATAGCACCTGAGTCAACAGGCCGTATCACCGTTTAAATGATAACGCGTGTCAAGCATTTAGTCCAGTGCCTGACACACAAGTATTCAAACATGATGACTGCTATTATCACTACTGCAAGCCTAGCACTCCCCACTCCACACTCCACACGGTAAAATCTGTTGACATTTGTCACCTGCGCCAGACAATGCACTCTTTGAGTTTAGACTCCACCTAAGTCACCTTGACACCCCCAGCCCCGACCATCTCCTAGGTCTAAACAACCCATGTTCAATATACTGGGGAGGAGGTCATGAGTCATGTGTCAGAGGCAAGGTAGGGGCCATTCATGTCAGATTCTCTGCTCGTCATATGAGGCTGAGGGGGGGACAGAATGGAAAACCCTTCACTCTCAACAAACATTATTAAGCAAGGACCCATGACACTCACTGAGCTAGGCTAGAGTGCAAGGGTGCAGAGACAGGTGAGGAAGGTGCTGGGGTCCTGGGGCTCCCGTTCCAGGAGGAAACAGGGATGAATACACCCATCAAGGTGGGAGGGCGTCTCCCCCCCGGATGGGGCCTCACCCCCACCCCCATCTGCCATCCTCTAACCTAGGTGGCATACAGACTGGGGACCCTGGACATGCGGGCCTTTCTCCGCAACAGCCAAGTGGAACGAATGTAAGTGGGACTGTGTCCCCCTAAGCCCCCAGATCTCTTCCTCATCCCCCACCCCCAGCCCCCCACCCCCCCTCACCGTTGCCCTCCCACACAGCGATTCTGCAGCACCGGCCTCGGGAAGCCCCATCCAACACTGGATGGTCATCTCGGAGTTCCAGTACCGCCCTCGGGGCCCGGTCATTGACTTCCTGAACAACCAGCTGCTGGCCGCGGTGGTGGAGGCGTTCTTATACCACGTTCCACGGAGGAGTGAGGAGCCCAGGAACGACGTGGTCTTCCAGCCCATCTCCGGGGAAGACGTGCGCGATGTGACAGCCCGTGAGTCCGTCCATTCCGGGGACACTATGGGGGTCACTGCGGGGGGCGGGCAAACAGAGGTGCTTCAGCCCACACAAACAAGCTAATTGAGTTTTTCTGTTTGTTTGGTTTTGAGCGAAAACGTGAACATTTTGTCCAGCTGCTTTTTAGATTCGAGAGCAGGAGCAGCCAGCACTGCTGAGGCAGTCACACGTATACAGCTTCACGGAGCAAGCACCCAGCCAGGGCCTTGCTGACTGTGGCTGCTAATAAAACAGCAGCAATTTAGTTTCATAAAATTGCTAATAGTTTTCTTAAAATGCCATTGCACTTAAGCATACACAGGGACACCCCCATCGTCTCTGCTCTCCAGCGGGAGGATATGAAGCTGGAGACTGGAGACTGGCCAGGGACAGAGGCAACTACTCCCTGAAATGGTGTCACCCTGTGCAAGCACCTTCCCCAGGCCAGGCCAGGCCTCAACACCCCCCAGCACCTTCCCCAGGCCAGGCCAGGCCTCAACACCCCCCAGCACCTTCCCCAGGCCAGGCCTCAACACCCCCCAGCACCTCCCCGAGGCCAGGCCTCAACACTCCCCAAGCACCTTCCCCAGGCCAGGCCTCAGCACCCCCATCTGAAAATGAGATGGGATTTCTGAGCCCCCTTTCAGTGCTGACAGCCCCCGGTTTTCCTGGAACAGGAATAAGTTGGCAAGCTTGTCAGAGAAACAAAGGAATAACACGTCCTATTTTCTGTATAGGGCAGAGAACAGGGCAGGGGCCGCCCCAAACACAACAGGAACTGCTGTTTTACTTGGGTCTGGGACCAAGCAAGAGCTTCTCCCAGAATCCAGGCTAAGCCCGCTCTCTCCCGGAGCAGGGGGTGAAATCCCTCAGAACTACTGTATGTTGGGGAGTTGGGGTAGGAGGCGCAGGGAGGCAAGCCCTGACTATGCAATTAAGGAAAACCTATAATTTTTATTATACAAGCATCGTATGTTTATTGCAGAAACTTTAGGAAACACAAACTTAACAAAAAGAAAAGAGGAAAAAAACCCTGTAATCCCAATCCCCAGAGAGACAACAGTATTTCCTACATATCCTTCTGAACTTTCTTTTATGCCTAGGAACCTTCAGACATCCATTTTTTACTGAAGGATCAAATCATTCCTAATGTTGGAAAACCTCCTCATTAAACAGTTGTGAACAGGTTGTCTCATATATTCTGTCCACATTCCCATTTGACATATTATGATGGTATGTTTGAATATAGTGTCATATTTTAAAATACATTATAATAATCATTACCATTGTTTGAGTGCTTACTGTGTGTCCGGCACTGTACTGAGTACTGTGGACACATTATCTCATTTAAATCTCACAGCAGCATAAGTGCTATTATGATCATTTCCTTTTAAAGATAAGGAAACTGAAGCTGAAAGAGTGAAGGAATGTTCCCTGAATTACACATCTAGTTACTAGCAGAGTTTCAGTTTCCACCCAAGTCTGGCCACCTTCAAAGCATGTGCTCTTCAGGAAAGCATTTTCCATAGGAACCTTTTTCCACAGGAACCTTTTTCCCTAGGAAACTTTTTCCCTAGGAAACTTTTTCCATAGGAAGCACCATCCCTTGGTAAGGATGTGCAGTAGTTTATTTAACCAGACCCTACTTCTGAAACGTTACTATTATCCACCACACTGATCTGAACGTCCAGGGGCATATGTATCTGTGCACTTCTCCAATTATTTCTCAGGATAAACACCCGAAAAGGAATTCGTGGCTGAAAAGGTACTGATTTAGTGTTCATCGGTTGCTTTCTGTGTTAATCTGTGTCCTTCCCGACAGTGAACGTGAGCACGCTGAAGGCTTACTTCAGATGCGATGGCTACAAGGGCTACGACCTGGTCTACAGCCCCCAGAGCGGCTTCACCTGCGTGTCCCCGTGCAGTAGGGGCTACTGTGACCATGGAGGCCAGTGCCAACACCTGCCCAGTGGGCCCCGCTGCAGGTGCATAGGGCTGTGGCCAGGAGGTGGAGGACAGTGCTGGGGAACCCAAGCTGGGCAAGACACTGCAAGGGGTCCAGGAATTAGGATGGCTCGAGAGATCAGAGACCAGGGAAGAGAGGACAGTGGAAAAGGAGAGTTGTGAGTGCCTGCTCTGTGTGGAGAATAAAGGCGCTATATTACAAACTCTGAAACCCAAAAGAGCCATAGGGGGGCTTAGAACTATTTCGAAGATGAGAAAACTGCAGCTTAGAGATGACAAGGAACCTGCCCCAGGACGCAGTAGGTTAAGCAGCAGGGCATGGTTTCCAAAGCCAAACATTTTTTATATTTTTATGTTTTGAGATGGAGTGTCATTTGTCGCCCAGGCTGGAGTGCAGTGGTGCGTTCTCGGCTCACTGCAACGTCCTTCTCCCGCGTTCAAGCGATTCTCCTGCCTCAGCCTCCCGAGTAGTTGGGACTACAGGCACGCACCACCACGCCCAGCTGATTTTTGCATTTTTAGTAGAGACGGGGTTTCGCCATGTTGGTCAGGCTGGTCTCGAACTCCTGACCTCAGGTGATCCGTCCACCTTGGCCTCCCAAAGTGCTGAGATTACAGGCGTGAGCCACCGCGCCAGGGCCCAAAGTCAAACCCTCCCACCTGATCTGGCTGCTGCTTCCCTGCTGTCTCCTTGTGGGAAAAGAACCTGCGGTCCTGTGTCTAGGCCAGTCCTGCCCCTCAGTCAAGCGAGGCGCCTTTGCCCCTGCCCTCACCAGCAGTCCCCGGGGCTCCGCTGGTTAACAGCGCAGGAAGCCGCGGCCCCACGCAGACCTGGGCTCCGGGCCCTCCGCCAGCTGCAGTTCCAGATCCCGCCGAAGGAGGGGGCGGGCGGAGCGCGGGTGGGGCGGGGCCCGGCTCTCCGGGTGGGCGGGGCGGGGCGGGGCCGGGCTGGGGCGGGGGTGTGACTGCGCATGCCCACCTGTGGCCGGCATCCCTGCCGCCCAGGTGCAGCTGACTGCACGTGCAGCTGAATTCACACCAGGTTTTTGTTTTTGTTTTTTGAGACGGAGTCTTGCTCTGTCCCCCAGGCTGGAGTGCAGTGTTGCAATCTCGGCTCACTGCAACCTCCACCTCCCAGGTTCAAGCGATTCTGCCTCAGCCTCCTGAGTAGCTGGGATTACAGGTGCGCACCACCACGCCTGGCTAATTTTGTATTTTTAGTAGAGATGGGGTTTCACCGTGTTGGCCAGTCTGGTCTCGAACCCCTGACCTCAAGTGATGCGCCCGCCTCAGCCTCTCAATGTGCTGGGATTACAGGCGTGAGCCCCCGCGCCGGCCCAGGCCCATGTTTTTAAAGCCCACACCTGCCTCCTTTGCCCAGTGGTCTCACTTCAGCACGGCCTCAGGGCTGACTCAGTCTCTCCGGAGAGTGGGGCGAGCCCAGCCTCTCCTACAGAACCTCTTCTTCCCCAGCAGAAGAGGAGGGGCTGGGAGGCTGAGCTCCCGCCTCTGACCGCCTGTCTGTCTCTCTTGGTCACCAGCTGTGTGTCCTTCTCCATCTACACGGCCTGGGGCGAGCACTGTGAGCACCTGAGCATGAAACTCGACGCGTTCTTCGGCATCTTCTTTGGGGCCCTGGGCGGCCTCTTGCTGCTGGGGGTCGGGACGTTCGTGGTCCTGCGCTTCTGGGGTTGCTCCGGGGCCAGGTTCTCCTATTTCCTGAACTCAGCTGAGGCCTTGCCTTGAAGGGGCAGCTGTGGCCTAGGCTACCTCAAGACTCACCTCATCCTTACCGCACATTTAAGGCGCCATTGCTTTTGGGAGACTGGAAAAGGGAAGGTGACTGAAGGCTGTCAGGATTCTTCAAGGAGAATGAATACTGGGAATCAAGACAAGACTATACCTTATCCATAGGCGCAGGTGCACAGGGGGAGGCCATAAAGATCAAACATGCATGGATGGGTCCTCACGCAGACACACCCACAGAAGGACACTAGCCTGTGCACGCGCGCGTGCACACACACACACACACACACGAGTTCATAATGTGGTGATGGCCCTAAGTTAAGCAAAATGCTTCTGCACACAAAACTCTCTGGTTTACTTCAAATTAACTCTATTTAAATAAAGTCTCTCTGACTTTTTGTGTCTTCAAAACCAGGAATTCCATTCCTGATTTTCTTCTGGTGGCCGAAGGGCTGGACACAGACTTCTCCCAACCATCAGAGGGCACAGAGTGTGGAGGTTAAGTGCTGGGCAGCAGTGGAGCATTAGGGGCAGCTGGATCCAGTCCTAATCAGCCCGGTTACCCATGCTGGAAACCCTCAGTTGCTCCACCCCAACCTTGCTTCATGCTCCACATCACCTTCTTCTTCCCCCACCCCAGCACAGGCCAAAGCTTTGCCCGCTAAGGAGGAGAGCGAAAGAGTTACCCCAAGATGGAGTGCCCCAGACTCTCTCCCAGGACCCCTCCCTGCCTGCCTGTCCATCAGTTTCACAAAAGTCGTAAAAGGATCAATGCACAGTGTGTTTACCTGTCTGGTGGCTGTCCCCACCGCCTGCGTTTCATGGAAGAGCGATTAAACCATTTCAGCTCCCTTTCCAGGAACCAACTCAAGAAACATGCCACCACCCCACCCTTAGATCTGGAGGGCCCGACCCCTCATATACCCTCTCTGTCCTTTCCCGGACCCCAGATGGAGTCTTCTGAGGTTCTCCATCCCACAGCCCTTCACCTCTACCCTGCCTCCACTTGCCCCAGCAACCTGATCAGCTTCCACAGAATCCTCTCAGCAGGCGGGACTTTTACACCTATCTGGTGTAATAACTCCAACACAATTGGTCCACAATTCCTGTGTCTAGAAAATCTCAATTCCAACTTTATGCAGAAACTAGGTAGCTGCCTCTTAGTTCTAAATCCCAAATCCCTGAAGAGAGAATCTGACTGGTCCAATTTACATCAGTTGTTTATGCCTGGTCCAATAAAATGTAGTCATGGGGTCAGAAAGGAGGTCACATGGTGCAAAGCAGGTGTTCAAGCTCATTCTTGCGGGTGGGTAAGTGCTGTTGAAGGAAGCTCCCAAAGGAATATCTTTGGTTGGGCACGGTGGCTCACGCCTGTAATCCCAACATTTTGGGAGGCCAAGGCGGGCAGATCACTTGAGGCCAGGAGTTTGAGACCAGCCTGGCCAACATAGTGAAACCCTGTCTCTACTAAAATACAAAAATTCGCTGGGCATGGTGGCACACGCCTATAATCCCAGCTACTCAGGAGGCTGAGGCAGGAGAATCTCTTGAACCCAGGAGGCGGAGGTTGCAGTGAGCTGAGATTGTGCCACTGCACTCCAGCCTGGGCAACAGAGCAAGACTCTGTCTCAAAAAAAAAAAAAAAAAAAAATATATATATATATATATATATATAAAGAATATATATATATATATATATATATATAAAGAATATATATATATATATATATATAAAGAATATATATATATATATATATATATATATATATATATATAAAGAATATATATATAATCTTTGTATTAGGGTTCCCTAGAGGGTCAGGACTAATAGGATAGATGTATATATAAAGGGGAGTTTATGAAGGAGTATCGACTCACACGATCACAAAGTGAGGTCCACAATAGGCTGTCTGCAAGCTGAGAAGCAGGGAAGCTAGTCTGAATCCCAAGATCTCAAAAGTAGGGAAGCCGACAGTGTAACCTTAAGTCTGTGGCAGAAGGCCCAAGAGCCCCTGACAAACCACCAGTGTAAGTCCAAGAGTCCAAAAGCTGAAGAACTGGAAGTCCGATGTTTGAGGGCAGGAAGCATCCAGCACGGGAGAAAGATGAAGGCTGGAAGACTTAGCCAGTGTAATCCTTCCACATTCCTCTGCCTGCTTTATTCTGGCTATGCTGGCAGCTGATTAGATTGTGTCCACCCAGACTGAGAGTGAGCCTGCCTCTCCCAGTCCACTGATTCAAATATTAGTCTCCATTGCCAACACCCTCACAGAGAGACACCCAGGAACAATACGTTGCATCCTTCAGTCCAATCAAGTTGACACTCAATATTAACCTTCACAGTCTTTGATCTGAGCAGACTCCAAACTTACATGGAGAATGACTTCTCCCAATAGGTGAAGCCACTCTCCTACATACAAAGCTGTAGCTTTACCCTCATATGGCCCAAAGTGGAATGTAATGAAGTCTCCATACAAAACTGCAGTCACAGCATTCATTTATCAAGAAGCAAGCACACAGCACAGATGAGTTCGCTGGTGAATTTTAGCAGATATTTAAGGGGAAATAATACCTATTTTCTGCAATCTTTTCCAGAAGATAGAAGCAGGAGGAATACTTCCTAAGTCATTTGTCACTGTCACCCTAATGCCAAAACGGGACAAAGACATTACAAGACGACTATAGACCAATATATCTCACATAGATGCAAAAATTACCAACAAAATATTAGCAAATACAGTTCAACAATATGTAAAAAGAATTATAGGCCATTACCAACAGAGATTTATCCCAGGTATGCAAGACTGGTTCAATATTCAAAAATCAGCTAATGCAATCCGTTACATCAACAGGCTAGAGAAGAAAAATCACATGATCGGCCAGGCATGGTGGCTCACGTCTGTAATCCCAGCACTTTGGGAGGCCGAGGCAGGCGGATCACGAGTTCAGGAGATCGAGACCATCCTGGCTAACACGGTGAAACCCCATCTCTACTAAAAACACAAAAAATTAGCTGGGCGTGGTGGTGGGCGCCTGTAGTCCCAGCTGCTTGGGAGGCTGAGGCAGGAGAATGGTGTGAACCCAGGAGGCGGAGATTGCAGTGAGCCGAGATCACACCACTGCACTCCAGCCTGGGTGACAGAGTGAGACTCTGTCTCAAAAAATAAATAAATAAATAAATAAATAAATAAATAAATAAATAAAAGAATATCTACAAAAACCTACAGCTAACATCATCCTTAACGGTGAGAAATTAGATGCTTTCCCCTAAGATTAGTAACAAGGCAAGAACGTCCCCTCTCACCATCGATTCTCAACATCCTGCTGGAGGTCTTGGCCAATGCAACTAGACACAAAAGGGAAATAAAAGGTATACAGAATAAAAAGGAAGAAACAAAACTGCTTTGTTCACAGATGACACAATCATCTATGTTAAAAAATCTAAGAGTTGACAAAAGGAAAAAACCCCAGAACAAAGAAGCAATTTCAGACAAGTTTCATGATATAAGGTTAGTGTCCTAACGTCAACAGCTTTCGTGTGTGCCAGCAAAGAACAATTGGAATTTAGAATTAAAAATATTTGAGCAAGACAGGAAACAAAAAAAGAAAAATGAATAATAAAATTAAATACATATGACCATTTACATTAGCATCCCCCAAAATGAAATACTGAGGTGTAAATGTAACAAAATATGTACAAGATCTATATGAGAAAAACTATAAAACTCTGATGAAAGATATCAAAGAACTTCATAAATGGGATGACATTCTATGTTTATGAACAGGAAGACTCTTTTTTTTTTTTTTTTTTGAGATGGAGTCTCCCTCTGTCACCCAGGCTGGAGTGCAGTGGCACCATCTCAGCTCACTGCAACCTCAGCCTCCCGGGTTCAAGCAATTCTCTTGCCTCAGCCTCATGAGTAGCTGGGATTACAGGCACACACCACCACGCCTGGCTAATTTTTTTTTGTATTTTTAGTAGAGATAGGGTTTCGGCATTTTGGCCAGGCTGATCTCAAACTCCTGACCTCAGGTGATCCACCCTCCTCGGCATCCCAAAGTGCTGGGATTATAGGTGTGCGCCAGCACAACAGGCCAGAAGACTCAATATTATTAAGATAGCAGTTCTCAATATTATCAAGATAGCAGCAGATCAAGATAGCCAACTTGATCTACAGATTCTACATAATGACACAATCTTAATCAAAATCCCAGGAAGTTATTTGTAGATATGGATAAACTGGCTCTAAAGTTTATGTGGAGAGGCAAAAGATCCAAAATAGCCAAATCAATATTGATGGAGAATGGTCAGAGGACTGATACCACCTGACTTCAAGGCTTACTCTAAAGCTATAGTCATGAAAGCAGCATGATACTGGCAAAAGAATAGACAAATAGATCAATGGAACAGAATAGAGAGCCCAGAATATTAAAAGTAATATTTCTAATAGACCTGTATAAATGTGTCAACTGATCTTTGACAAAGCAGCAGAGGCCACACAATGGAGCAGAGATAGTGTTTTCAATAAATGACGCTGGGACAACCGGACATCCACAAGGAAAAAAAAAAAAAAAAAAAAAAAAAAAAAATCTAGACACAGACCTTATACCTTTCATAAAAACTCAAAATGAATCATAAACCTCAATAAAATGCAAAACTGTAAGACTCCCAGAAGATAATATAGGAGAAAATCTAAATGACCTTGAGTATGGTGATGACATTTTAGATACAATAGCAAGGGCATGATCCATGAAGGAAATAATTGATGAGCTGAACTTCATTAACATTAAAAACTTCTTCTCTGTGAAAGGCAATGGCAAGAGAATGAAAATATTTGCAAAAGTCCCATCTGATTAAAGACTTTTATCTAAAATATACAAAGAGCCGGGTGCACTGGCTCAGACCTGAAATCCCAGCACTTTGGGAGGCTGAGGTAAGCGGATCAATTGAGGTCAGGCGTTGGAGACCAGCCTGGCCAACATGGTGAAACCCTGTCTCTACTAAAAATACAAAAATTAGCTGGGTGTGGTGGCGGGCGCCATTACTACTACCAGTAGTAGTAATCCCAGCTACTCGGGAGGCTGAGGCAGGATAATCACTTGAACCCAGGAGGCGGAGATTGCAGTGAACTGAGATCGCGCCACTGCACTCCAGCCTGGGCAACAGAGTGAGACTCTGTCTCAAAAAATATTAATTAATTAATTAAATATACAAATAACTCTTACAACTCAACAATAAGAAAATGAACAACCCAGTTTTTTAAATGGGTAAAAAAACTGAACATACATATCACCAAAGAAGACATTCACATGGCACATAAGCATCTACAAAGATGTTCAACATCGTATGTCATTAGGGAACCGCAAACAACGCGAAACCCATGCACACCCGTTAGAATGACCACAATCGCCAGGCATCGTGGCTCACAACTGTACTCAATACACACCTGTTAGAATGACCACAGTCACCAGGCACTGTGGCTCACACCTGTACTCCCAGCACTTTGGGAGGCTGAAGCAGGAGGATCACTGGAGCCCAGGAGTTTGAGACCAGCCTGGGCAACAAAGCAAGATCCCATCTCTACAAAAAATTAAAAAATTATATGGGCACGGTAGCATGTGACTGTGGTCCCAGCTACTCTGGAGGCTGAGATGGCAGGATTGCTTGAGCCCAGGAGGTTGAGGCTGCAGTGAGCCGCGATCCAGCCTTCACTCCAGCCTGAGCAATGGAGTGAGACCCCGTCTCAAAAGAAAAAGAAAAAAAGAATGATCAAAATCCACAGCACTGAAAACTTCAAATGCTGTTCAGGATGTGGAGCAACAGGAACCCTCCTTCATTGCTGGTGGGAAGGCAACATGGTACAACCACTTTGGAAGACAATTTGGCAGTTTCTTTTTTTTTTTTTTTTTTGGAGATGGAGTCTGGCTCTGTCGCCCAGGCTGGAGTGCAGTGGCACGATCTCGGCTCACTGCAAGCTCCGCCTCCCGGGTTCACGCGATTCTCCTGCCTCAGCCTCCTCAGCAGCTGGGACCACAGGCGCCCGCAATTTGGCACTTTCTTACCAAACTAAACCATACTCTTACTATGCAGTCCAGCGATCACACTCCTTGATATTTACCCAAAGGGACAGAAAACGTTTTTGTCCACACGAAAACCTGCACATGGAGGTTTATAGCAGCTTTATTCATAATTTATAGCAGCTTTATTCATAATTGCCAAAACTTGGAAGCAACCAAGATGTCCTTCAGCAGGTGAACGGGTAAATAACCTATGGTGCATTCAGACGATGGAATATTATTCAGTACTAAAATGAAATGAACTACACAGCCATGAAAATACATACAGAAAACTTAAATGCATATACTATGTGAAAGAAGACAATCTGAAAAGGCTATTTACCTTACGGTTGCAATTATATGACATTCTGGAAAAGGTAAAACTATGGAGACAGTGAAAAGATCAGTGGTTGCCAGGGGTTGGGGATGAATAAGTGAAGCACAGAGGATTTTTAGGGCACTGAAACTACTTATTTTTCTGTATGATGCTACAATGGCAGAAACATTTATGTTATTTTATTTTTTGAGATTGAGTCTCACTCTGTCGCCCAGAATGGAGTGCAGTGGTGCGATCTCTGCTCACTGCAACCTCCACCTCCCGGGTTCAAGCGATTCTCCTGCCTCAGCCTTCCATGTAGCTAAGACTACAGGCATGCGCCACCACACCCGGCTAATTTTTGTATTTTTAGTAGAGATGGGTTTTCGCCGTGTTGGCCAGGCTGGTCTCGAACTCCTGATCTCAAAGAGATCCACCCGCCTCCACCTCCCAAAGTGCTGAGATTACAGGCATGAGCCACTGCGCCGGGCCAGCCGATACGTTGTTGAATAGAGAATGGAGAATATCCAACGCCAAAAATGTGCTGTCAACTCTGGACTTTGATGAGGATATGTTGACGTGGACGCATCGACTGTCACACGTGCCACCTGGTGCAGGGCGTTGGTGGTGGGGGAGGCTGGGCGTAGGTATATGTGTGTGTGGCAGGGGGCATATGGGAACTTTCTGTATTTTCCACTCAGGAAAATTTTGCTGTAAACCCAAAACTGCTCTAAAAAGCAAATTTTATTATTTAAAAGATGATTTTAAAATTAATATATTTAAATTTTTAAAAGAATTAAGCACACATGGCACTAACGGGGCGGCTAGGGAGCCAACCATCCATCAGTTGTGAGGAAGGGGGAGGCCTGCAGGCATGAAGGAGCTGGTGAGACCGCCCTCACCTGGCTGCCAGAATCCCAATTCCATGAGGACCTTGTCATGTGACTCAAAGTCAGAGACAGCAGAAGGTCCAAAAGTTACAACTTACCTGAAACCCACCAGGCACTATTGGCAAAGGATTCACCCCCACCATGGAAGGCACGTGAGCGCTGTGGGTGCCCTGTGTCATCAACTGCGGAGAAAGGAAACCAGAAAGAGCAAAAGCAAAGCAGCGAGTGGGGAGCAGACCCGCCCCAAACCCAAGGTCCCTCCTCCCCTGTCCACCTTCACACACTAAGCAATGGAGGGAGCGGGAGGACAGAGCCTGTGTTTGATGGACAGCTCCTCCCGAGGCAGAGGAGAGGCCCAATACCTGGGAGAAGGCTGGGAGCTTGCTACCCCTGAAGGAGACCCGCAGATTGGAGGGAAGAGAGGAGCCAGGGACCGTCGTGGGAGAGGATGCATTAAAAGTAGGGCTGTCTGGGCCAGGTGTGGTGGCTCACACCTATAATCCCAGCACTTTGGGAGGCCGAGGCAGGCAAGTCACCTGAGGTCAGGAGTTCAAGACCAGCCTGACCAACATGGTGAAACCCTGTTTCTACCAAAAATATAACAAATTAGCTGGGCGTGGTGGCGCACACCTGTAATCCCAGCTACTTGGGAGGCTGAGACAGGAGAATCCCTTGAAACCAGGAGGCGGAGCTTGCAGTGAGCCGAGATGGCACCACTGCACTCCAGCCTGGGTGACAGAGCGAGACTGGGTCTCAATAATAATAATAATAATAATGAAAGTAGGGCTGTCCAATTTAGCAAATGAAAATACAAGCAGCCCAGCTTAAATTTCAGATTAACCACAAATAATTGTTTTAGTTTAAAGATATCCCATGAACTATTTGGAACATTCTTGTATATTTTTAAGTGTTCACCGTTTATCCGAGGTTCTCATTTAAGTGGCTGTTCTGTGTTTTCTTGGTGAGCCCAGTCAAAGCCGCTGAGGCCCTGACAGCACGGGAGGAGGAGGCGTCCCAAGAAAGGAGAGGGCACCTGGGGACACCCTTCTCTAGCTGGACAGGGAGCTGCCCCTTCACGAGTGGGACAGTCAGAAGGACAAGGACACAACCATCCATTTTCGTCAGCTCATTCCCTGGCTACAAGTGGTCTGGATTCTGTCGCTTTGGCCCCTGGAATAAAATAACTGACTGACCCTTCCCCAGGGTGCCAGGTGTGAGTTTGCTTGGAAGAGAGAAGGGTGCAGACCCCCGACCCCTGCTGGTGGCAGCAGCTGGGACACCTTCAGTGGGCTCGAGAGTGGCAAAAGGAGCTATCTGGGGCAAAGCTTGGCCAAAGACA
Organism: Homo sapiens; assembly: GCF_000001405.40. NCBI lineage: Eukaryota > Metazoa > Chordata > Mammalia > Primates > Hominidae > Homo > Homo sapiens. Next base: position 56,163 of record NT_187691.1, read on the forward strand.
CAGACTCCCTTGCCCATTCTTCCCTGCTTCAAAGGAGCCTTCCAGAAACTCCCCACAGGCCTGAAGTAAGTGGCTTAATGACTGGGATGATGAGTGATAGGTCACTGGCATGATGCACCCCTTTACGCATTTACTGGCACCAGAAAGTGATATCATGGCCACTATTAAAGTGTGGGGCGCACCCACGGAATTCGTTTCCATTCAAATGCTTTGCATACTTTGGTGGCCAATCCCCCTCTCAAGGGATGAAGGCAGGACTGGCTGTGGCAGAAGCTTCAGATGAGGTCTCTGGTCAGAGAAGTTCCACCTCACGTTGTCTTCATCATTGCTGTGGAGTTTCGCCGTCTCAGAGCTCACACCAAGTCACAGGTGACTTTAGACAGGCCATCTTGTTTAGGTCCATGCTTAAATTTGTCTTTATAAAACGTGGCATTTTTACCTCATATACACACACTTTAGAATCTTAAATAGCTGGAGAGTTTTCTCCAGGGACTTCTGGCTCCTGTTAGCTTGGTAACATTACTCCTGCTAACTTTGGTCATCTCCAGTAATACAGGCGTGCACACACACACACACACACACACACACACACACACACACACACACACAGTCTCTCTTCCTCTTTATTGTCCCCCCCCAACCCACCCACATGCAATCATAATGATACATTTTAGTTCCCAAATGCTTCTAATTTGTGTTGTTCTTGTTGACGTTTTGAGACACGGTCTCGCTCTGTCACCAGGCTGGAGTGCAGTGACGCAATCTCAGCTCACTGCAACCTCCGCCTCCCAGGTTCAAGTGATTCTCCTGCCTCACCCTTTTGAGTAGTTGGGATTACAGGCACCTGCCACTATGCCCAGCTAATTTGTGTATTTTTAGTAGAGACAGGATTTCACCATGTTGCCTGGGTTGGTCTCAAACTCCTGGCCTCAAGTGATCCGCCTGCCTCGGCCTCTCAAAGTGCTGGGATTACAGGCATGAGCCACCGCACCCAGTCTCTAATTTGTGTATTCCATATTTTACAGATTTTTTAAGCTAGTCAAATTTTACAATTTTTTTACTTCCAAAAATAACAGTAATCAGCATCATATGTACATGTCCGTGTCCTCATATGTAGTAATTAAGATTACATGAGCCACTGTATTAAGTATCACCCACTTGAGGAAATACAAAGCAAGAGAAGAAAACCTATTTAAGAATTGGGTTTATATAACAGTGGTGTTGTCATTTTTGTAAACTGCTCTCCATTCATGCCAAATTATAGAGCAGCTTCGGAACAATTATATCATTAAATTTACGTTTTGTGTGATTTCAGTACTGAATGCCCTTTTCTTAACTTTCAGAGCCCACTGAAAGTTTCGGGGCTCACGTGGCCCACCATTGTCCCAGTCACTCAGCAAACACATCAGTGCCCTCATGTGGAGGGCTCCACGCCAGCTTCTGTGATGACAGAGGTGAATACTACCGGCTGCTTGTCCTCGAGCACGTACAATGTAACAAACTTGTAAATAAAATAAGCACATTATAATACAGCATGTTAAGTGTTACAACAGAAACACAAGAGACCAGAAAATCAGCACCTCTGTAGGGAATCTGATGAAGTCATGGAGAGGTGCCATCTGAACTGGGCTTTGAGGAATGAATAGGAGTTTTCCAGGTGAAGGGACCAGGGGGAGGAATCATGATGGGCAGACGCTCCAGATGAAAGCAGGTGTGCCTGGGGTTAGCGAGCTGCTTCCTGTGCAAGCAGCATAGGATATGGAAGATGGGGCCGTGACCTGGAGCTAAGATAGTTGGCTGAGGCCATATCATGAAGACCCTTGCATACGAAGGTGGGGATTCCATCCTGGAGGTAGGAACAGGAGTAGCTTTGATTTGGGAGAGGAAAGCTCTGCAGATGGTGTAAAAGGTAGGTTGGAGTTAAAAAAATTTTTTTTAAGTTCCATTTTAAGAAAAAAGAAGATAAAATAACATTTCATGAATTTTTTTCTGTCCTAATAAATATATGTTTCAACAATGCTTCTGTAGCTTGCGTAAAATAACGCTATAGTGTTTAAGCAAACTGTTACATGGGGAGATTTGAGGTTACTTGTGTTTTGTTTTGCCTTTTTCATCTATGAGTTATTGTAAACAGTTAGGCACAGATTCTAAATTACTTCCTTAAGATAAATCAGTAACGAAACTGCTGAGTTAAAGGTATGTACATTTTTCGGGCTTTAAATAAATCAGTTAAATTGTCCTCCGGAAAGGTTGTACCAATTTCTTCCCTACTAGGAGTGTTTAAGAATGCCCGTTTGCCCAGCACCCAGTATAGATCAGTACAGACATACAATAAGCAATATCTCACTGTATTAATGGACCTGTTTTTGCTACTGAAGTCACACGTTCTTTTTCATGGGGGGTGGTGGCGGGAGGAGAGGACATTTGTATTTCTTCTTTTGTGAATTACCTGTTGCCATTTACCCATTTTTCTACTGGTATGTTTGCCTTTTTATTTTCTTGCGCTGTAAGAGTTCTCTATATATTAAGGGCATCCTGTTGTTGCTATATGCGGTGTAAATAAGTTCTTTCAACTTATTATTGCTGTACGTGTCTAACTTCAATCCCTGGGAGAAGAGACAGATTTGAATCCTCCACGGCACATAGCTCAGTCTCTCTTCTGCGGCAGCTGCCCAACATATATGCCAAGATGAGCGAATTATTTTTGTCCGAGCTACTTTATGAAACTCATTCTGCCCCACTCCAGAAATGGAAGGGATCTGTCAAACGTTCAGACTCCCCTTGCTCACAGCAGCATCAACATTGTCTCCTTGTTTCCTTCATTCATCTAACAAATGTTTACTGAGCCCCTGGTATGTGCCAGGTACTGTTCTTGGCACTAGGGAAACCATAATGGGCAAAATCTTTCATTCTAGTTGGAGGACTCAGATAATAAAGAAAACAAAATATGTATGACGTTCAATTGTGATCAGCACTATAAAGTACGTCAAAGTACAGAAGGGGAGACTGAATTTGTAGGCAGCATGGTCATGGTAGACCTCGCTGAGAAGGGGCATGAAGGTGGAGGTAGAGGGTTTAGACAAGTGGATATGTAGAGGAGAAGGCTTCTGAGCAGACTAAGCAATGCACAGAAAGGTCCCAAGGCAAGAGCAGGCCCAGCGCATTCAAGGGACAAGAAAGACGTCCGTGTGGCTGCGGTGCAGTCAGCAAATTAAGGAGGCAGGGGAGGGGCGCAGGTCGTGCACGGCTTTGCAGCTGTTGTCGGAGCTTTTCTTCTGAGTGAAATGGGAGGATTGGAGCAAAGAAGTGGTGTGTTCTGCCTTATGTTGTAAAAAGACAGCCCTGGCTGACACACTGGGACTAGACTGGGGTGGGGGCTGAGCTGGAAACAGGGAGACCTGTAGTAGTGCAGGTGAGAGATGATGGCATCGTGGACCATCTCGGTGGTAGCACTGGAGATGCTGAGGAGGGGCCACATTCTGGGCACAGTTTGATGGCCTTAGAGCCAGCAGAATTTCCTGGTGCAAAATGTGAGAGGGGAATAAAGACGGTGCCGAGGATTTCGGCCTGAGCACCTGAAGGATGCAACTGACGTTAACTGAGATGGGGAAGATGCAGGTGGGGCAGGTCCAGAGGAAAAGATCAGAACTTCGATTTTAGAAATGTGGAGGCCAGGAGCAGTGCTCATTAACTGGAATCCCAGCACTTTGGGAGGCCGAGGTGGGTGGATCACTTGAGGTCAGGAGTTTGAGACCAGGCTGGCTGACACGGTGAAACTCCGTCTCTACTAAAAATTCAAAAAATTAGCCGAGCATGGTGGTGGCACCTGTAGTCCCAGATACTCAGGAGGCTGAGGCAGGAGAATCACGTGAACCCAAGAGGTGGAGCTTGCAGTGAGCTGAGATCACGCCACTGCACTCCAGCCTGGGTGACAGAGCCAGGCTCCTTTCCATCTCAAAAAGAAAAAAAAAAAGAAAGAAATGTTGAATGTGAGGTATGTATTTCATCAACATCCAAGTGGAGAGATTAAGAATTGAAATGAATACACAGTATACATTAATAATAATAGCTGTATATAAGGCTGGGCACAGTGGCTCATGTCTGTAATCCCAGCACTTTGCGAGTCTGAGGCAGGAGGACTGCTTGAGCTCAGAAGATCGAGACCAACCTGCTCAACATGGTAAAGCCCCTTTTTTACAAAACAAAGTACAAAAATTAGCCAGCTGTGGTCCCAGCTCCTCAGGAGGCTGAGGTGGGAGGATCACTGGAGCTGGGAGGTGGAGGCTGCAGTGAGCCATGGTCGCACCACTGCACTGCAGTTTGGGTGAGAGTGAGACCCTGTCTCAATTTTAAAAAATAAATCGTTGTATCTAAGAGGTGGGATTATAGAAAAGTTTTTCTTTCTCCTCTTCCCACTTCTTACTTTGCTTGGTCTTTGGAATATTTCAAAATTTTGAAATCATAAACAAGTTTTACTTTTATTTTAAATTTATTTATTTATGAGACAGAGTCTTGCCCTTTTGCCCAGGCTGGGGTGCAGTGGTAGGATCTTGGGTCACTGCAACCTCTGCCTCCCGGGTTCAAGTGATTCTCCCGTCTCAGCCTCCTGGGTAGCTGGGATTACAGGCACCTGCCACCACACCCAGCTAATTTTCGTGTTTTTAGTAGAGACGGGGTTTCACCATGTTGGCCAGGCTAGTCTCAAACTCCTGACCTCGTGATCCACCGGCCTCGGCCTCCCAAAGTGCTGGGATTACAGGCGTGAGCCACTGAGCCTGGCCAAGTTTTACTTTTATAATAAAAAGTAAACCATATTAATTTTTTAAAAAAATAATAGCATGTAAGTTATAACATATAAGAGGAATAATTGAGGCTTGTGTCCAGAACTTGAAATTTAAATTTAGGTCAATTCCACATTCTCTGCGATCCCACTGCAGGCCAGACACTCTGCTAGTTCAGGGGATACTGAGATGAACAAAGGTGGTCCCTGCCCTGCTGCAGCGGGCTGTTCGACAGGCTCCAGGCCCGTCTCAGTAAATGCTATCATCAAAGTCCAAACCAAGACCTGGGGGAGTAGAAGGAGGAGGTAGCAGTGAGACTATACACAATCCCTGTACTATAAAAATGGCGAAAGCATGCAGATCAATAGACAGCCTCTGGGCCACACTGAGTGAATTTTAATGCAGGATGGAAGCACACAGATGGGTGATCAGGTCTCTCTTTACTGAAACACAGAACATGTGCCAAGGTGAGTCCAAGGACACCTCTGGGAACAGGTGAAGCCCCTCCCCACACATACACTCCGGTGGATGTGAGCGAGGGTCCTGTTGCCACATCTGGGGTCAGGGGCTTGGACATGCTGCCCTTCATGGGAACCTTCTGGGTACCTCTCAGCACAGTAACGCAGCTGCAGTCTGTCGGTGGGGGCCCAGGCTAGGGGCAGCACCCTCTTTTGGCATACGGGACATGCCTGGCTGCAGCTGATGTCCGTTAGCCTCTCCTGACACGCAGTAAGGAGACCTGGAAGTGAGGCGCGTGGGCGTGGAGTTCCCGGTGGAGCTGGAGAGCAAAAGAGCCAGCTGTCCTTTCAGCCCATCTGGCCCATGAGCTCGCCAGAGGCAGAGGACAGGAAGGGACACTGGGGCAGAGTGCATGCGGAGGACGGCAACCCTTCCTGGGCCTCCTACATGCTGGACACAGGCTGGTGCCTCACACACATTATGTCATCTAAACCTCACAGCAACCTTATAAAGCAGGTGTTAGGATCCTCATTTTATAAGGGATGAAAGTCGCATAGAATAACTTATCCAAGATCACACAGTTGGGAACTAGAATTCACACCCAGATCTAGCTGGTTCCTAAGCTCATTGTCTAATCCCCGAGCCCAAACTGTTGGGCTGTCCCCGGACGAGAACTGATGCCCAACCCCATGTGGCCTGGTGCCTGCGCCTCAGCTGCTTGACCTGCTCCTGATCTCGCGGTTTCTTTCCGATTCCTGAAATCATTTCTGGTTTGGGGGCTTAGACCTGAGATTCAAAACTGGCTTCCCGGCCGGGTGCGGTGGCTCACGCCAATAATCCCAGTGCTTTGGGAAGCAGAGGCAGGTGGGTCACCTGAGGTCAGGAGTTCGAGACCAGCCTGACCAACATGGAGAAACCCCATCTCTACTAAAAATACAAAAATTAGCCAGGAGTGGTAGTGTGCACCTGTAATCCCAGCTACTAGGGAGGTTGAGGCAGGAGAATTGCTTGAATCCGGGAGGTGGAGGTTGCAGTGAGCCGAGATCGTGCCATTGCACTCCAGCCTGGACGACAGAGCGAGAATCTGTCTCAAGAAAAATAAAAGAAAAGAAAAGAAAAAGAGAAAGAAAAAGAAAAAGAAAAAGAAAACTGGCTTCCCAGCCGGACACAATGACTCAACGCCTGTAATCCCAGCACTTTGGGAGGCTGAGGTGGGTGGATCATGAGGTCAAGAGTTCAAGACTAGCCTGGCCAAGATGCTGAAACCTGAAACTCCATCTCTACTAAAAATACAAAAATTAGCCAGGTATGGTGGTGCGGGCCTGTAATCCCAGCTACTCAGAAGGTTGAGGCAGGAGAATGGCTTGAACCTGGGAGGCGGAGGTTGTGGTGAGCCAAGATCGCACCACTGCACTCCAGCTTGGATGACAGAGTGAGACTCAGTCTCAGAAAACAAAACAAAACAAAACAAAACAAAACAAAACAAAACAAAACAAAAGCAATTGGCTTCCCTCTCCCACAAGGATTCACACTCGCTACTTTGATTATCACATGCCGGGGGCATTTGTCACTTATTTGGCCATCGGGTGTCGAGCCCCCGTGCCATGTTTAGGGAACTCCTCACAGTGGGAGTCACGATCGGCCTCACTGCTGCTAAGAGAACTCCAAGGACACAGACATCCCTTCTTCCCGTCCCCTGGCACCTGGCTGTGGGCTCATGGGAGTACAAGGGCTAAGCTCAGCCTATCAAATGTTCCTACTCAGGACTTTGGCTCTGGAGCAAAAAGTCCAGTGAGACAAAAAGGCAGCGAGAACCTATGTGAATGTGTGTGCAGGCCACGTGATGCCCCTTGGCTGTGGCAGCATCCAATAGTGACTGACCAGCAAGAGGGACAGTGTCCCAGCCAGCCTGATCCCACTGTCTGGACCTCAGAGCTCCTGGGGGCCCTCCTGCCTATTTTCCAAGCCTGCTGTCCTGGCATTGCTTTGATTCTATGCACTCTGGGACGCTGCCAACAAATCCCCCTTTTACTTACGACAGACAGAGGTTTTCTTTCGCCTGCAACAAAGGATCCCACTCTCCACGGACATATCTTGCTTCCCTCTGCTAAGGGCAATCATTCCACCTGTCCAGCCTGGCTATGAACTCTACACCTGGCATAAGACCCCCAGCCAGCATCTCTGCCAGGTTTACCCTTGCAAGGGATGACAGGAAGCCTGAGCCACTTTTCAGCAGTGTGGCACCCATTGACTGTGAGAGGTGCTGAATGCAAGCTTCAGGTATTAGCAAGGGCACTGTCCCATTGACTGTGAGAGGTGCTGAATGCAAGCTTCAGGTATTAGCAAGGGCACTGTCAAAGAGGCAATCCACATTAGACTGTGCACTGGGCCTGTTTTCACGGTTACATCTGTGAGCAGAGCTTAGACACTTCCCATCATGCCCCATCTGCTACTTTGTACCACACATTAGGAGAACAACCCACCCCTCAGTGAGGCCAGGCCCGTGACATCTGCACTGAGCTGACCCAGTCTAACCTCCAACAAGCCACACCATCCCCATCCTCAAAACCCTGACCCCGGAACTTTACCATTGGAAGTTCTATCCAGTGGGTTTTAGGAGAATTTTCCCAACTTGTACAAATACATCCCAATCATGGTCCTCATCTAGAGTATACATCTCTGCGGTTTTTTCTGCCTAGCCTCCCTATTTTCTTGGGGCTCATCCTTCCTCTATGGGATCCTGACTGGGTTGTCAGTCATGGTGACCCTTGCAGGCCATGGAGACCTGCACTTCCCCAGATGACATGAAAATTTGGGGAGAGGGGGCCGGGTGCGGTGGCTCATGTCTGTAATCCCAGCACTTTGGGAGGCCAAGACGGGTGGATCACGAGGTCAGGAGATTGAGACTATTCTGGCTAACACGGTGAAACCCCGTCTCTACTAAAAAAAAAAACATAAAAATTAGTTGGGCGTGGTGGCGGGCGCCTGTAGTCCCAGCTACTTGGGAGGCTGAGGCAGGAGAATGGCGTGAACCCAGGAGGCGGAGCTTGCAGTGAGCTGAGATCGCACCACTGCACTCCAGCCTGGGCGACAGAGCGAGACTTCGTCTCAAAAAACAAAAAGAAAGAAAGAAAAAGAAAAAAGAAAAGAAAATGTGGGGAGATGGAAGTCCCTTGTGAATCTATGGCTAACAAGGCTGCCTTTTCATACACATGAAGAAAGACTCTGAAGAATGAAGGGAGTAAAGCTAAGACAGGGAAAGAAAGAGAAAGTCCCTGTGATGGCGTTGGAGCTGCTGGATCCAGCCGTACTGAAGCTGAAGAGACACTTGTAGGTTTCTCAGACCTTGCCTTTTTTTTTTTTTTTTGCATAAACTGCTCTGACTTGGGTTTCTGCCACTTGCAACCAAGAGTCCGACCTACCCTCCCATCAGTATCACTGACCTTTGCCTCAGAGGCCAGAAGGCCAAGCTTCCAAGGACCAGAAGAAACTGGGGGCTCCAGGAGTCACAAGTTTACATTGCAGAGAAGGAAATGAAGAACTCGGAGAAGGCAGGCAGAAGCAAAGCCAGGCAGAGATCCTCAGATTCAGCTCCCAATTCTCCGTAAGAAACGAGACTCCCTTCCAAGTGCGGTAGCTGCTCTTCTGTGTCCTGCGGGTCTTCCCTGCAGCCCCTGCGAACCTCGCCCCTTCCTCTACTCCCCTGGCCCGGAAAGTGCCCACTCACCTGCTGCATCAGCCTTTCTGCCACTCTGGGGTCAGTGAGGTCTTCCGGGGAAGCCACACTCAGCCGCAGGAGGAGGAAACCTCCATTTTCACCTGCAAATGGAGAACAGTAAGATGAAAATCAGGGCTGGGCACAGTGGCTCACACCTGTCATCCCAGCACTTTGGGAGGCAGAGGCAGGTGGATCACCTGAGATCGGGAGTTTGAGACCAGCCTGACCAACATGGAGAAATCCCGTCTTTACTAAAAACACAAAATGAGCCGGGCATGGTGGTGTGTGCCTGTAATCCCAGCTACTCAGGAGGCTGAGGCAGGAGAATCGCCTGAACCTGGGAGGCGGAGGTTGTGGTGATCTGAGATCGCAGCACTACACTCCAACCTGGGCAACAAGAGCGAAACTGTCTCAAAAAAAAAAAAAAAAAAAAAGAGGAGGATGAAATAGTCACATATATTTGCTTCCGTATGTACATTTCATGTGCAGAAAATTACACACAAGAGACAATCTCACGGGTTACATGTGTGGAGAGAACTGGGTGGGGGCACAGCCAGGGGAGAAAGGCATTTTATGGTGAACCTTTTCGTACCTTTCCATTTCAAATCATATGAATGTCTTATCTAATCAACAAATAATAAAGTATTTTTCTTTCCAGGGAAAAGAAGGAGCGATCAGACTGTCACTGTGTCTCTGTAGAAAGGAAAGACATGAGACTCCATTTTGAAAAAGACCTGTACTTTAAACAAGCTTTGCTGAGATGTTGTTAATTTGTAACTTTGCCCCAACCTTGAGCTCATAAAAACATGTGTTGTATAAAATCAAGGTTTAAGGGATCTAGGGCTGTGCAGGACGTGCCTTGTTAACAAAATGTTTACAAGCAGTATACTTGGTAGAAGTCATCGCCATTCTCTAGTCTCAATAAACCAGGGGCACAATGCACTGTGGAAAGCCGCAGGGACCTCTGCCCTTGAAAGCAGGGTATTGTCCAAGCTTTCTCCCCATGTGATAGTCTGAAATATGGCCTCGTGGGATGACAAAGACCTGACCGTCCCCCAGGCTGACACCCGTAAAGGGTCTGTGCTGAGGTGGATTAGTAAAAGAGGAAAGCCTCTTGCAGTTGAGCTAGAGGAAGGCCACTGTCTCCTGCCTGCCCCTGGGAACTGAATGTCTCAGTATAAAACCCGATTGTACATTTGTTCAATTCTGAGACAGGAGAAAAACCACCCTGTGGCGGGAGGTGAGACATGTTTGCAGCAATGCTGCTTTATTATTCTTTACTCTGCTGAGATGTTTGGGTGGAGAGAAACATAAATCTGGCCTACGTGCACATCCAGGCATAGTATCTTCCCTTGAACTTAATTATGACACAGATTCTTTTGCTCACATGTTTCTTGCTGACCTTCTCCTTATTATCACCCTGCTCTCCTACTACATTCCTTTTTGCTAAAATAATGAAAATAATAATCAATAAAAACTGAGAAAACTCAGAGACTGGTGCCGGTGCAGGTCCTTGGTATGCTGAGCGCCGGTCCCCTGGGCCCACTGTTGTTTCTCTATACTTTGTCTCTGTGCCTTATTTCTTTTCTCAGTCTCTCATCCCACCCGACTAGAAATACCCACAGGTGTGGAGGGGCAGGCCACCCCTTCACTTTCCAGAGCAGTTTAGCTACCATCTTCAACCCTGTCAGATGGGGTCGTGTTACCCACCTCCTAAGGCTGTTTTGAAGGTTAAATAGAGGAGATAACATATGCAAAGCTGGTGGCACACTGCCTGGCATCATAACATATGCAAAGCTGGTGGCACACTGCCTGGCATCAGATAACATATGCAAAGCTGGTGGTACACTGCCTGGCATCAGATAACATATGCAAAGCTGGTGGTACACTGCCTGGCATCAGATAACATATGCAAAGCCGGTGGCACACTGCCTGGCATCAGATAACATATACAAAGCCGGTGGCACACTGCCTGGCATCAGATAACATATGCAAAGCTGGTGGCACACTGCCTGGCACCGGAGAGAACGTTCTGCTGGGGCCAGTGCTTACTGGGTGTGAAACATGTTTATATCACCCCTGCCTATAACATGAAAGATATTCAATAATATCTTTATGTATTGAGTGGTTGTGATTAATATTTGTATTCCCACCTCCCCCAGAAAGGTGGTAACAAGCTGCGGATACACAGAGATGAGGCCCAAGGGCAGAGTGACAGGAAGTGGAGGTGGAGGCTACAGGCTGACCAGAAGCTGGACTGACCAAGCAGCCTCTGACAATGAACTTCTCCCCTGAGAAGTCCCTGTTGCCTCAGAGATGTAGCTTTAAACTCCCAAGCCTTCGCTGTATTTGCTTATTTTATCTTACCTTTTTTTTTTGAGACGGAGTTTCACTCCGTCTCAGCTCACTGTAACCTCCACCTCCCGGGTTCAAGTGATTCTCCTGCCTCAGTCTCCCAAGTAGCTGGGATTACAGGCGCCCACCACTGCGCCCAGCTAATTTTCATATTTTTAGTAGAGATGGGGTTTCACCATGTTGGTCAGCCTGGTCTCGAACTCCTGACCTCAGGTGATCCGCCCGCCTCTGCCTCCCAAAGTGCTGGGATTACAGGCATAAGCCACCGCTCCAGGCCTGTATTAATTTATTTTAAGTCACTATCTATGGCATAAATCCCAGGAAATGCATCCAGCAGGCCCCACTTTCATGGGGTCCCAGCCTGTCAGAGAGCAGCAGCTTGGGCCTGATGCCTGCCTGCTGCTCCTCTGTGTGGCTATGGCTGGAATAGAAGCTTCCAGAGCTGCTCAACAGTGCACTTCACAGAAGGTCAGAGCTGGACAGGACTTCAGTGCCCATTCCAACCCTCTCCAAATACAGGTGGAGAAACTGAGGCCCAGAGAGGGACAGGGACTTGCCCAAGGTCACTCGGGTTGTTACAGGCAGAGCCGAGACCGCAAACCATTTCTCCGGACTTCCATCCCCACCCCTTTCCATACACAACCCTCCATCTGCCTTTTCCTGATTTCGCCAAGAACCACTAGAAGATCACGAAGAGGCAACATCAGGAGCAGGCTCTGAGTAGGCTCCAGATCCTTCCCTCCTCTCCACTCCTCAAGTGCGGAGACGTCCTGGAAACTCCGCATCCCAAATCCCCGAAGATCACCAGCAGGAGCCACTTACCTGCACTCATGTCTGTGGTCGGCCTCGTCCGGGCAGTCGTGGGCGTGGCTGTTGGGGGCTTCATCGTGGTCTTCGCTGAGGTTGTGATCTTGGCTAAGGTGCTGTTCGTCCCTCGGCTGCTGTTGGTTGTAGTTGGAGGGACAGAAGGAAGAGGGTCCCTGCTGGTGGGGAAGGGCCCCTTGGTTGCGATGTCCGTGGTCAGTGTCTCTGAAGGGGTGAAGTTCTTGAGGGCGGCTTCCGAGGGGCTGTAGGAGGAAGCAGAGCTCCCAGCAAAGGAAGTTGTTTTGCCCACTGCTGACCCAGCCTCTATGGAGACCGGAGCTGCTCCTGAGACTTTGACGTAACTTGGTGTCTCAACAGAGAGGGCTGAGGTTTCTTCCAGGGGATTCCCTGTGGCCAGAGCTCCACTGAGGGTCGTGGCCCCGGGTGCTGTCACTTCTCTTTCTATGGTGCTGTTGGTGGGGAGTGGGGTCCCAATCGTGGCATCAGGTGCAGCTGACTCTGTGGTGCCGGCTGTGGACAGGGTCTCGGCAGAGGCTGTGACCTCAGTGATGTGTGGTTTTGCTTCAGTGGAGTCAGGCAGAGCTGGTGGATCGGAGGTGGACGAGGCCTTCACCCCTTCCGTGGGGATGGGATCTGTGTCTGAGGCCCCAGGGATGCTGGAAGTCGTTGTTTCTATTTCTGTGATGCTGCAATTAATAACCTCGATGTTTGTGACAGTCACCAGGGCTTCAGCGAGGAGAGTGACGTCAGATCCCGGGGACCATGAGGGGGTGATGACTGGATGGGGGCCGTCGGAAGAGGCGCTGCTCTCTGAGGCCCGTGACGGGGTGATGACTGGATGGGGGCCGTCGGAAGAGGCGCTGCTCTCTGAGGCCCGTGACGGGGTGATGACTGGATGGGGGCCGTCGGAAGAGGCGCTGCTCTCTGAGGCCCGTGACGGGGTGATGACTGGATGGGGGCCGTCGGAAGAGGCACTGCTCTCTGAGGACAGGCCCTTAGCTTCTGTGGAGGTGTGAGCCAATGTCAATATGTCCATTGTGAGTGTCTTTGCCTCTTCAGAGCTGTCATCGGTGCAAAGGGTGTCAAAGATGGCTTCCTCGGGATCACTGCCTGTGATGGTCTGAACTGTGGTCATTCCAGCTCCCTCGGGGCTGCCACTGGCGGCTGATGTCTCCACGGAGGTGGCGATCAGCACCATGAAGTTGGGAGATGTTTTTGTGAAACTCCTGGTCTCTCTTGCAGGGGAAATTCTCTTGGATCCCCTGGTCTCTGCTTCTGGAACGGGGCCGGCTGGGGTTGAGGCCCTAGAAGAGGTCTCAGCGCTCAGTGTTTGAGTTTCCAGAGCGGCGTGGCCCGGTGCTAGAGTCATAGCGGGCACTTCTGTGTCGTCCGTTGTCATCGCAGTGTCTGCTCTGCGGGTGCTGGGGCCTGTGTTGGTTAAGACTGACTTGGTGAGCCTGGGTTCCAGTGGACTTCACACAAGCTATTGCATTTACACCCTGGGCACTTCTGGGAGGAGGGTGGGGCAGGGGAGTGCCGTTACCTCATTTTTCATCTACATAAGCGAACAAGAAGGAGGCAGTCCTGGGAAGCCCAGGCCTGTGTGGCAGCCATGGAGCTGGGGTTGCCATGACTGGCGTCCTCTGAAACCCTGACAACTCACTTGGGGCCAGCAAGCCCCAGGATCTGCTGGCTATCGGCCTGCGTCTTTAAGAGGGGATGTGTGGGGCCAGCGTCCACCTTCCAGGGTGAGCCAAGAAGGCAGACCAGCGTCCAGGACTCGCAGAGCTTTCTGAACCTCTGTCGCCTTCCCCGGGTACTTTTCTCATCCAACACATAGTTCCCCATGGAAGTAAAAACCCTTAAAAGACGAGAAAGGCCTATGATTGTGCCTTTCGGGGTAGCTGGGTGGATTGAGGCGGGGGAACCTCCAGAGACAGGGTGGGCAGTGCTGCTGCCAAAGCGAGGGAGCCGGCAGAGTCCTTGGGGCTCCGGCAAGGGAAAGACGGCACCCCCCACCCTGCCGAGGCCCCTCCTGAATGAGGGCCGAGAACTGCAGGGTTGGAGCCTGGGAACCATGGAAACCGTGGCCAGGCATTTTCCACAGGACACCGGGAGCCCCTGAGGCAACACCTAGCTTTTCAGAGAGCGGCTGCCGGCACTTCTGCCCAGAGCAGAGGCCTGTTCCCTTGACTGGCCCTGAGGTGGGAGGAATGGGAGTCCCCGAGGGAGGCTACGGTAGGATATCTTCCCTAGAGACAGGGTCTTGCTCTGTTGCCCAGGCAGGTCTTGAATTCCTGGGCTCAAGCGATCCTCCTGCCTCAGCCTCTTGAGTAGTTTACTACAAGATCTTTTCTGGCCTGAGAAAGGGGGCCTCCCCTGTCTAGAGGGAGATCGGGCTCTCCCTGTGAGTGGGCCAAGGAGCCTCTTGGAGAGGGTTTCTAGATTTAGCAAATAAAAATACAGGGTACTCGGTTAAATTTGAACTCGCAGTTCAGATAAATGACGAATAACTTTTTAGCATGAGTATTTCTCATGCAATATTGGCTACGTACTTACACTTAAAAAAAAATTGTTACCTGAAATTCAAATGTAACTGGATGCCCTGTGTTTTATCTGGTAATCCCAGTCTTGGAAGGAAAAGGATCAAATACGAACCCCCTAATTCTCTGAGCCTTCTTGGTGCAGCCCACACAGCTGGAAGCCCAAAGGTGGCGCTCTTGGAGTCTGACCTCCCCTGGCACAGGGTTTGAGATGGTCTTTACCCGGCTCCACTGGCCCAAAAGTAGCTCATAGACCCAAAAGAGGCCTAGCACCTCTCCCCAGGACGTCAGGATGGGGCTCCAGGTCCCCAGCTGGTTGTCCTGTGGACCTCAGGGAATGACGAGGCAGGAGTCAAGAGCCTCGGTTGCAGCTCCCGCTGTGCCGCCCACGACCGGCTCTGGGGTCAGATGATCTGCTGGTTCAAATCCTGACTCAGCCTCCTACTAGCCAGGCCAGTCTCTAGACCCCTCCCAGCCTCCATGTCCTCACCTGAGAAAACAGGGTCACAATACCTGCCTTGCCAACGTGGTGAGGACCAGCGGAGAAGATGAAAGGGCTTATATTCCAAAGCCCACAAGGTAAGCATCCCTCCCCATGGAGTCCTCTCCCGGGCCCCTGGAAAGCACGCATAGTCGATTTGACTATAGTGAGGAGTGCGGGCTGCACCCCCAGGCAGTATAGGCGAGTCCCGGGCACCCACTCTCATCCCTGGTCCGGTGCGGCCCAGCTGCACACACAAATCTCACCTTTGCAGGAACTGTTCGTCTGCCTTCATAATACAGTTTCTTCTCCCCACTTCAAGCCTGAGATCATTTCTCTGAGCCTTCTTGGTCCAGCCCACACAGCTGGAAGCCCAGAGTGGTGCCCTTGGAGCCCGACTTCCCCTGGCACATTTTCTGGCTTATCCAGGAGCCCCGGGGTGTCCTTTCTGCTGTGAAACCTCCTCATGCTCCCCAAGCCCACAGCCTCTCGGGTCCAAGGGGGTCTTCTCGAATACAGCAAATCCCAGCCCAGCCCCCTCAGTAGCTCTGGAACACTGCGGCTCTCCTGGTACAATCTTCAAATCTGGTGGAGAGGAAAGCGTGTGGACTTGGGACCCTGAGTTGGAGAATCTGCTCTCTGCCCTGTGACCCTGGCCAAGTCTCTCAGCTCCAAGCCTGCATTTCCGCACCTGTAAGGTGGAGCTAACGGGACACGTGCAGCGCAGACCAGGCCACGGTGAGCACAGGCAGGAGGCCACGGGGTGCAGTGCTCAGGCCTGTGAGGAGTCAGATTCTGGCTCCGAGGAGTTGTTACTGGATGCCCAGAAGCACAGTGGCCTCATCCTTAAAGCAGTGGAGGTGGGGGGTGGTAAGAACAGGGCCGATCTTGCAGGGCCGTTGTGAGGATTAAAAATACAATGTATGATAATGATGCATCAAAGTAGGTTCCTCAGTCCTATCAAATGTGCCACTCTGGTGGGGGACGCTGATGATGGGGGAGGCTGTGAGTGGTGGGGATGGGAACTCCAGACTCTCCACTGCAGCTTTTTTTTTTTTTTGAAACACAGTTTCACTTTTGTTGCCCAGGCCAGAGCGCAACGGTGCGATCTCAGCTCACTGCAAACTCCACCTCCCAGGTTCAAGCAATTCTCCTGCCTCAGCCTCCCGAGTAGCTGGGATTACAGGCACCTGCTACCACCCCCGGCTAATTTTGTATTTTTAGTAGAGACGGGGTTTCTCCATGTTGGTCAGGCTGGTCTCGAACTCCTGACCTCAGGTGATCCACCCACCTCAGCCTCCCAAAATGCTGGGATTACAGGTGTGAGCCACCACGCCCGGCCTCTCCACTCGAGGTTTAGAGGGAGCATAGAACTGCTCTAAAAAAAAAATAAATCCTTTTCTATTTTTTAATGTATGTGATGAGTTTGGCACAACTCCTATTAGCGACAGGTCAGGGTTCATTCCCGTCTTTCACAAAAGCCCTGCCTGTCAGCATCCACCCTTCCCAAGCAGTTTGTGGCAGTTGGACTTTTCACACGAAATCTGTATTTTGAAGGAAATCCATGCTAGGTAATAAACTGGGAGGAGTCAGAATCTTGTTAAGCCACATTCTTCAGCTTTCTGCACAATGATCACCAGCTGGCACCTCCCTGCACCCCCGCTCCGTGCCCCACTTACTGTCCCACGTTCATAAACAGAAACTCTCAGCCACCCCTTACGATGGCAGCGTCATGTTTGATTAGTGTGTACTGCAGCGCCAGGCACGCTTACACTCACACACATCGTCATGGTTGATTAGTGTGTACTGCAGCGCCATGCACGCTTACACTCACTCACACTGTCATTTGCACACTCTTTATCAACAATAATAGCACTTCACAAGTAGCACTGTGGTTCATTATAATCAACCCGAGAGAGCCTGCCCTTGCCCATGAAGGGTGGCTCATACTGAAATTCACTCCCAGAGCCCTACTAGGGGAGAGGCCCACCAGGCCCTTCTAGGCCTCCTTACCTGCAGAGCTCCCAGAGACCCCAACCTCCCAGCAGAAGAAGAAAAGGGGCAGAGCCAGACCCCAGAGACAGCCCATCCTAGCCGGCCACCGCTGCTCCACAGAACTGCTGGCTGTCTCTCGCGGGTACCTTTTCCTGCTTCCTCAAACCAGGGAGGGGCAGCCTCCTGCCCAGGTGTGTGACCAGGTGATCACAAATGTGCAGGCTGAGGGCTGGCAGGTTGAGGCTGTCAGCAAGCTGACCCCCCTGCCTTCCTTGCCCGGTAAACACTCCACTGAAATTTGATTTGAAGATATGGAATCACTAGCTTTTTTTTTTTTTTTTTGAGATGGAGTCTTGCTCTGTCACCCAGGCTGGAGTGTACAGTAATGAGATCTCAGCTCAATGAAACCTCTTCCTCCCGGGATCCAACAATTCTCCTGCCTCAGCCTCTGGAGTAGCTGGGATTATAGGCGCGCACCACCACGTCCGGCTAATTTTTGTATTTTTAGTAGAGATGGGGTTTCACCATGTTGGCCAGGCTAGTCTCAAACTCCTGACCTCAGGTGATCTACCTACCTCAGCCTCCCAAAGTGCTGGGAGTACAGGCATGAGCCACTGCACCCAGCCAAGTGCTTTTATTTTCTTAAGCCAATTAATTAGAGCTCTTTTATATATTTTCAGTAGCAAAACACTGTGTACACAACAACACATAAATACACAGATGTATTAGGTATGCTGAAAGAAGTTCATCTTATAGATTCATAAAGAGCTTTTTTCTTACACCTTCAAATTCTTTTTTACTTTTTTTTTTTTTTTTTTGAGACAGAGTCTCACTCTGTTGCCCAGGCTGGAGTGCAATGGCTTGATCTCGACTCACTGCAACCTCTGCCTCCTGGCTTCAAGTGATTCTCCTGCCTCAGCTTCCTGAGTAGCTGGGATTATAGGCACCTGCCACCACACCTGGCTAATTTTTTTTGTATTTTTAGTAGAGACGGGGTTTCAACATGTTGGCCAAGATGGTTTTGAACTCCTGACCTCAAGAGATCTTTGCGGCTCAGCCTCCCAAATGCTAGGATTACAGACGTGAGCCACCGTGCCCAGCCACACCTTCGAATTCTTGATAACCTGTTTTACTACTCTAAGCGGTTGTCAGCTAAATAGCCTTGAATTTGCATTTTAAGGAAACTGAGGTGAAAATCGAATAGCAAAATTTACATCATAACGTATGGAGAGAAAAAGTCTGGTGTGCTGGAGGGAAATTAAAACAGATTTAATTGCCAATTAAACATAAAATTATAGAAATTATAAAGGCCTTTTAAATATATACACACACACAAAGATCCTATAGCTTTTACTTCAGAAATTTAGCCATGAAAGCTGGGCGCGGTGGCTCACGCCTGTAATCCCAGCACCTTGGGAGGCCGAGGCGGGCAGATCACCTGAGGTCAGGAGTTGGAGACCAGCCTGACGAACATGGAGAAACCCCATCTCTACTAAAAATACAAAAAATTAGCCAGGCGTGGTGGTGCATGCCTGTAATCCCAGCTACTCGGGAGGCTGAGGCAAGAGAATCACTTGAACCAGGGAAGCGGAGACTGTGGTGACCCAAGATCACGCCATTGCACTCCAGCCTGGGCAACAAGAGTGAAACTCTGCCTCAAAAAAAAAAGAAAAAAAAAAGAGAAAGAAAAGAAAAAAAGAAATTTAGCCATGAAATAAATACAAATTCCCCAGTTTACAAACAGAAAAACTATCTGATCCAAACAGTGTTTTTTATCTTAATAGGAAAATAACAGCAAATTTAAAGCAGGCAGAGAAGAAACTAGAGAAAAAAGAGGACTCAGGAACTCTACAGTTTGCAGGTCAACCTCAGGGCTCCTTTTTTTTTTAATGTAAATGTGCAGAAAGACCATATTACTTCCACTTTACGTAAACTCTGGCAAGTAGAGGCGCCATGAACCCTATGGAGTACTCGGCTGGGAGGAGCAAACGCCCTTTCTCTTTGGAGCTGAGAAAACTCAATCTCTCATTTACCTATGACAACAACAGTTCAGTTCCTCATGCAAATACATAGACAACCCAAACTGAGATTCATTTTGGGAGAAAAAGCAATAGAGAAGACCCTTTAGGATGCATCTCTGAACTAGAATTAGGATCCTTAAATCACAGCTTCCTAGAAGAGAAAAAAAAAAAAAAAAACAGCCAAGACCATTCCCTGTAAACTGTGCTCAGCCACCCCTTCTTTGTAGTTCTCGTCTGCCATTACACACGCCAAGGTCAAATCCTCTCACAGTGCAGGGTCATCTCTGGTTCCCCCAAAGCCAAAGAGGTCAGGTCATGCCATACAGGAAGACAGCAGAGCTTTAGACCTAAGAAGAATCCGCCCATCACTCTTGAAACTCCACAAAGAAAACAGAGCACCCTGGAAGGGGTGAGTGGCCCCTTTGTTCCGGATCCTTTAAAGGGGCTCGAGTCATTGGAAGCCTTCTCTAGATTTTTTTGGTCCCGCAGATGGCAAAGGCAGGAGGAGGTATAGGGAGGAAGAAAAGTAAGTGAAAGAGCATTTGTTGTTTTTGTTTGTTTGTTTTTTAAGACAGAAAGCAAACACAGAAACCAAGCACGTGATTTGTTGGTTTTTTTCGTTTAGTTTTTTCCTCTTTTGCAGCTGCAAGGAATTTTAGCCAAATTAGAGAGGCTTTGTTACCCATAATTTGGAATTCTCACTTGGATTTGACCAAGTCAGGTAGAGTTGGTCAAATCTGATGAGAGAAAGACCAGAAAAAACAACAACAACAGAAGTCAAATGATATGACCACAGACTGCTCTAATGGGAAGAAGAAATTCAGACCAGCTGGTTGTTAACCTTCAGCCAAGACAAAACCTCAGTTCAGCTACTTACCTAGGGATGGGTCTCAGGCTGAAGACTGCTCTCTACCATCCTTGAAGCAGGAAAAAAACTCGAACTTGTCTTCCCTGCTGGGAGCAAGCTCAAACTCCATAAAAGAGTTGTCAGCCTTCCATCATCACGGACCCAGGAAATCTTGCCTTCCTTCTTGGAAGCAAATAAAACTCCAAAAGAAGGGGAGGGGGAGTTGTACATCAAATAAACTTTAGATCACGACCAAGTTTTGAGAGATCAGGGACTCTCTGGAGGGGGTGCTCCCAGACCTCAGCAAATTGTCCTGTTGGTTTGAGCCATAAGGTTAGCTCATGCTGCTACCAAGCACCAATAGATCTGTCAAAGGTCAGGGGCACCTCAACTCAGAATCCCTCCATGGTTACCAAAATGTGAACCCCCCAAATCTGAGACAGGTCTCAGTTAATTTAGAAAGTTTATTGTTCCAAGGTTGAAGATGCACACCCGTGACACAGCCTCAGGATGTCCTGACGACATGTGCCAAGGTGGTCATACGTTTTAGGGAGACATGAGACATCAATCAACACATGTAAGATGAACATTGGTTCAGTCTGGAAAAGGCCGGGCAACGCCAAGCAAACGTGGGACAACTCGCAGCCAGGAGAAAGCTTCCAGGTCACAGGTGGGTGAGAGACAAAGGTCGCATTCTTTTGAGTTTCTGATGGGCCTTTCCAAAGAAGGCAATCAGATATGCATCTATCTCAGTGAGCAGGGGGTGATTTTGAATAGAATGGGGGGCAGGTCGGCCCTAAGCCATTCCTGGCTTGACTTTCCCCTTTAGCTTAGTGACTTTGGGGGCCCAAGATTTATTTTCCTTTCACAAAACAATAAACATAACAAATAAGTGAATTATAGAAAGGTGAAAACTATGGAAAAAAAAGAAAAACAGGGAGAAAGAATCCTGAACACTGACGTGGGGAGGGCAGGTGCCAGCTGCAGTACTAAATAGCAGAGGGGAGGGCAGGTGCCAGCTGCAGTACTAAATACTGGTGTGGGGAGGGCAGGTGCCAGCTGCAGTACTAAATACTGCTGTGCGGAGGGCAGGTGCCAGCTGCAGTACTAAATAGCAGAGGGGAGGGCAGGTGCCAGCTGCAGTACCAAATACTGGTGTGGGGAGGGCAGGTGCCAGCTGCAGTGCGTGGGGAGGGCAGGTGCCAGCTGCAGTGTGTGGGGAGGGCAGGTGCCAGCTGCAGTACTAAATAGCGGGGGAAGATTTTTTTCTGAGCAACTTTGAGTCACTGCTCACATCTCATGCCAATGTATTAATCCCAAGTCAAGGGTCAGATGAGGCACTCGGATCTCTCCAGTTGCCAACACAGCTCTTCCAAGTGTACTTTACTTCCTTTCATTCCTGCTCTAAAACTTTATTTATGTATTTATTTTTGAGACAGAATCTTGCTCTGTCGCCTGGGCTGGAGTGCAGTGGCACAATCCCAGTTCACTGCAACCTCTGCCTCTGGGATCAGGCAATTCTCCTGCCTCAGCTTCCTAAGCAGCTGGGATAACAGGTGTGCACCACCGTGCTTGGCTAATTTTTTTTTTCTTTTTTCGTATTTTTAGTAGAGATGGGGTTTCACCATATTAGCCATGATGGTCTCGTACTTCTGACCTCAGGTGATCCACCTGCTTTAGCCCCCCAAAGTGCTGGGATTACAGGTGTGAGCCACCACGCCCAGCCCTGGCCAACTTTTGTTTTTTTTGAGACAGAGTTTCATTCTTATTGCCCAGGCTGGAGTGCGATGGCCCAATCTTGGCTCACTGCAACCTCTGCCTCCCAGGTTTGTAGGATATAATAAATTCTTCTTCAAAGGTTTTAGCCTGTAAATTGTTAAGTACAATGAGTTCTGAGATCCTCTCCAAAGAATCAATGTATCAGTATGTTCAGCTCTTCATTTTAAAGTTTAACTTCCTCGTTTTCTTCATCTCCTTGCCCCTAGTTTCAGTAAACAACCCCCTCCTAGCCTCTATCACCTGCTCCATCCTGAGTCACCCCCAGTCACCTGCTCTAATCTGAGTCATCCTGAGTCAACAGGGTTTCACCATGTTGGCCAAGTTGGTCTCGAACTCCTGACCTCATGTGATCCGCCCACCTCAGCTTCCCAAAGTGCTGGGATTACAGGCGTAAGCCATCGTGCCTGGCCAGTTTTCACTTTAAAATGATCTCTAATACCAACTCTTGGGGTCCAAATGGGTCCCCACTGGTTTCAAATGCTGAGCATGCACAGATTATGTGGATGAGAACTTGCCAGGTGGGCTTACCGAAGGAGACGTGGTAAGAATCGCCTACATTTGCCAGGCCCTGAGGACAGGCCCTCTCCACACCGAGGCTTATTTCCTTGGGTTGCAGAAGAGGAAACGCCAGGGAGCCCAGTATTCTTTGGTTCATTCACTTCTTTTTTATGTTGTAACCTACATACTGTAAACTACGCCCAGCTTAAGTAGCGTATACCCTGATGAATTTTTATGTACGTATGTATCCCCAGGATGTATCCGACACTCAGGTCAAGATACAGAACGTGCTCAGCACCTCAACAGGTGCCCTTGTGTTCCCTTCCAGTCAAGCCCCCACTTGCCACCACAGAATGGAACAATCATTTTTTTTTTTTTTTTTTTTTTTTTTTTTTTTTTTTTAGAGACAGGGTCTCGCTCTGTCTCCAAAGCTGGAGTGCAGCTCCATCATGGTTCACTGCAGCCTCCGCCTCCTGGGTTTGAGCGATCCTCCCATTTCAGTGTAACCACCATTCTTATCTCTATCACCATAGATTAGCTCTGCATGTCTTTGAACTTCATATAAATGGAATCATGCATAGATAGGCTCTTTTGTGTCTGGATTCTCTCTGTTAACACTGTGTCTGTGAGACTCACTCACGCTGTGTGTAGTATTATGCTTCATCCTTTTTTGTTGTTGCATAGTATTCCACTGTATAAATATACCACAATTTATTTGTCTGTTTTCCAATTGCTGTGCATTTGGATTGTTTTGTTTTTCACTATTTTGAATAAAGCTGCTATGAACATCCTTGTATATGTCTTGGGTATACAGATGGTCCTGGCTTACAATGATTGGATTTAAAATTGTTTGACTTTATGATGGGCTTATCAGGGTATTAAATGTGTTTCTGACTTACAGTATTTTTGACTTACCACGTGTTTATTGGGACGTAACCCCTTCCTAAGATGAAGAGCATCTGTATACATCCAGAATCCTGTGGAGCAACTCATAACCCATGAGGAATGGAAGCCGACAGACAGACTCATCCCCAGGACAGATGGTTCTCACTACATCTCATAAAGCTTCTTAGAAGATCTTACAGGATTGAGCAACCAGCCAGCCACAGCAGGGGCCAACTGGATAACACGTCTTTGCACAGGCTCTCCCTCTGTCCCTGTCACCCTCCCCTTTTCCTAACCTTGTTCCTTGGGATTATGTTTTGAAATAAATTATTCAGAGAAATGAAGCCAAAGCTGACCCATTAGCCAATAGCTAGGTTCTGTGATGACAGAGCTTCTGGGCTATAATCGTTTACTGAGAAGCCAGCGTTCCTGAGGGGATAATGGCTCGTTCCATTCAGCTGCAGCATAGGAGTGAGGGCAGGGCATTAGCAGAAGATAACACCAGAAACGTGCTCTGGGGCCTGTTGATGACTTTCTGTGCCAAGCGTAGACATTTAGCCTTTATTCTGTATGTGATGGGAAGCCAGTGCCAGTGGTGGGTTTGAGCAGGGAACCAGCAACCAGTGGTGGGTTTGAGCAGGGAACCAGCAATACTCAAGCTCTGCTTGGATGGAGGCCAGTCAGGGAGGAGTTAGGGCAGGAGGACCAGTCAGGGAGGAGACTTAGGGCAGGAGGACCACTCAGGGAGGAGACTTAGGGCAGGAGGACGGGTCAGGGAGGAGTTAGGGCAGGAGGACAGGTCAGGGAGGAGTTAGGGGAGGAGGACTGGTCAGGGAGGAGTTAGGGCAGGAGGACGGGTCAGGGAGGAGTTAGGGCAGGAGGACAGGTCAGGGAGGAGTTAGGGCTGGAGGACGGGTCAGGGAGGAGACTTAGGGCAGGAGGACTGGTCAGGGAGGAGACTTAGGGCAGGAGGACTGGTCAGGGAGGAGTTAGGGGAGGAGGACGGGTCAGGGAGGAGTTAGGGCTGGAGGACTGGTCAGGGAGGAGATTAGGGCAGGAGGACCGGTCAGGGAGGAGTTAGGGCTGGAGGACGGGTCAGGGAGGAGTTAGGGCTGGAGGACGGGTCAGGGAGGAGTTAGGGCAGGAGGACCGGTCAGGGAGGAGTTAGGGGAGGAGGACTGGTCAGGGAGGAGTTAGGGCTGGAGGACGGGTCAGGGAGGAGTTAGGGCTGGAGGACTGGTCAGGGAGGAGTTAGGGCAGGAGGACCGGTCAGGGAGGAGTTAGGGCAGGAGGACCGGTCAGGGAGGAGTTAGGGCAGGAGGACCGGTCAGGGAGGAGTTAGGGCTGGAGGACGGGTCAGGGAGGAGTTAGGGGAGGAGGACCGGTCAGGGAGGAGTTAGGGCAGTAGGACGGGTCAGGGAGGAGTTAGGGCAGGAGGACCGGTCGGAGGAGTTAGGGCAGTAGGACGGGTCAGGGAGGAGTTAGGGCAGGAGGACCGGTCGGAGGAGTTAGGGCAGGAGGACCGGTCAGGGAGGAGTTAGGGCAGCAGTATTGGTCAGGGAGGAGTTAGGGGAGGAGGACCGATCAGGGAAGAGAGTTAGGGCAGGAGGACCGGTCAGGGAGGAGTTAGGGCAGCAGTATTGGTCAGGGAGGAGTTAGGGGAGGAGGACCGGTCAGGGAGGAGTTAGGGCAGCAGTATCGGTCAGGGAGGAGTTAGGGCAGGAGGACCGATCAGGGAAGAGAGTTAGGGCAGGAGGACCGGTCAGGGAGAAGTCAGGGCAGGAGGACTGGTCAGAGAGGAGTTAGGGCAGGAGGCCTGTCTGGGAGGAGTTAGGGTAGGAGGACCAGTTAGGAGGCAGTGACTTAGGACTTCAGCAGTGGCACTAGAAAGGGGATGGATATGAACGACATTGCAAAGTAAAACTAGAGAGACGGCCGGGCACAGTGGCTCACTCCTGTAATCCCAGCACTTTGGGAGGCCAAGGCGGGTGGATCATGAGGTCAGGAGATCGAGACCAGCCTGGCCAACATGGTGAAACCCTATCTCTACTAAAAAAAAAAAAAAAAACAGCCAGGCGTGGTGGCGGGCGCCTGTAATCCCAGCTACTCCAGAGGCTGAGGCAGGAGAATTTGCTTGAACCAGGGAGTCGGAAGTTGCAGTGAGCTGAGATCGCACCACTGCACTCCAGCCTGGGCAATAGAGTGAGACTCCGTCTCAATAACAAAACAAACAAACAAAAAACTAGAGAGACTTGGCACCTTGCAGAGAGAAGCAAAAGATGACCCTGAGGTCTGGAGTCCAGGAAGCCAAGGACAGCAAAAGCATCCACAGAAACAGGAAAACGGCAGGTGTGGGAGGGAAGGTGAGAGGTTCATCAGACCCCACAGCCCCTGGCAGCGCCTCCTGGATCTTTGAAATCCTGTGCACCCCGGGAGACTCCGGGAGGCCCATCTGAGCTCACCGGAGAAAGGTCTGCCGTCTCTCCTCTCATCACTGGGGACAGAAAGCCTGAACATGAGGCCTGGACTACAGGGCTCAGACCAGAATATTTCCAGACTTAAGGGCAGTAATGTGGAGCCCAGGAAGGAATATTGAGGACAGAGGGCACATTACTTAGCTCAAGGGGTGCTGGGTTCTTATTTTCTACTTTCAAGAAATGTTTGCTATAGTCACTGTAACCACCACAAAACAGTGAATAATACCATGAGCCAAATGTATGTTTCACAATTTGTATGGCTGATTCTACGCACATTTAAATGTGTTTATGACAATTGTACATTTCAGTTTTCCTCTGGTTAAACCAATGTGGAAGTACACAGGATGGGAGCTGAGAGACAAGCATCCTGGGCCCAGCCATGCTGGCCTCAGTGGGCCAAGCTGGGGACAGATGACCTCTGCTCCGTGGATCCTGCTGGCTCAGGGTGGGGAAGGGGCCTCAGAAGAGGAGTCAGGCTCTCTTCTTTATTCTCCTCACAGCCATGGTGAATGGCATTCCTGGGAGGCTGGTTTGGAGAACTCGCTGAACCTAAGTGAGCAGGAAGTGAAGGTCTGTTCCCACCTGTGCCTGTGTTCCCAGATAGCAGCTGCCTCCAGGAGACTCACCAGGAGCCAGGTCCCTCCATACCTGATCTCAATTAACTCACTCACCAGGAGCCAGGTCCCTCCATACCTGACCTCAATTAACTCACTCACCAGGAGCCAGGTCCCTCCATACCTCACTCACCAGCAGCCAGGTCCCTCCACACCTCATCTCAATTAACTCATTCACCAGGAGCCAGGTCCCTCCACACCTCATCTCAATTAACTCACTCACCAGGAGCCAGGTCCCTCCACACCGGGTCTCAATTCACTCACTCGCCAGGAGCCAGTTCCCTCCATACCTCATCTCAATTAACTCACTCACCAGGAGCCAGGTCCCTCCACACCTCATCTCAATTAACTCACTCACCAGGAGACAGGTCCCTCCATACATCATCTCAATTAACTCACTCACCAGGAGCCAGGTCCCTCCACACCGGGTCTCAATTCACTCACTCACCAGGCGCCAGGTCCCTCCACACCTCATCTCAATTAACTCACTCACCAGGAGCCAGGTCCCTCCATACATCATCTCAATTAACTCACTCACCAGGAGCCAGGTCCCTCCACACCGGGTCTCAATTCACTCACTCACCAGGCGCCAGGTCCCTCCACACCTCATCTCAATTAACTCACTCACCAGGAGCCAGGTCCCTCCATACCTCATCTCAATTAACTCACTCACCAGGAGCCAAGTCCCTCCATACCTGATCTCAATTCACTCACTCACCAGGAGCCAGGTCCCTCCATACCTCATCTCAATTCACTCACTCACCAGGAGACAGGTCCCTCCATACCTCATCTCAATTAACTCACTCACCAGGAGCCAAGTCCCTCCACACCGAGTCTCAATTAACTCACTTGCCAGGAGCCAGGTCCCTCCATACCGGGTCTCAATTAACTCACTCACCAGGAGCCAGGTCCCTCCATACCTCATCTCAATTCACTCACTCACCAGGAGACAGGTCCCTCCATACCTCATCTCAATTAACTCACTCACCAGGAGCCAGGTCCCCCCACACCTCATCTCAATTAACTCACTCACCAGGAGTCAGGTCCCTCCATACCTGATCTCAATTCACTCACTCACCAGGAGCCAGGTCCCTCCATACCTCATCTCAGTTAACTCACTCACCAGGAGCCAGGTCCCTCCACACCTCATCTCAATTAACTCACTCACCAGGAGCCAGGTCCCTCCACACCTCATCTCAATTAACTCACTCACCAGGAGCCAGGTCCCTCCACACCTCATCTCAATTCACTCACTCACCAGGAGCCAGGTCCCTCCATACCTGATCTCAATTCACTCACTCACCAGGAGCCAGGTCCCTCCATACCTCATCTCAATTAACTCACTCACCAGGAGACAGGTCCCTCCACACCTCATCTCAATTCACTCACTCACCAGGAGCCAAGTCCCTCCATACCTGATCTCAATTCACTCACTCACCAGGAGACAGGTCCCTCCACACCTCATCTCAATTCACTCACTCACCAGGAGACAGGTCCCCCCACACCTCATCTCAATTCACTCACTCACCAGGAGCCAGGTCCCTCCATACCTGATCTCAATTCACTCACTCACCAGGAGCCAGGTCCCTCCACACCTCATCTCAATTAACTCACTCACCAGGAGCCAAGTCCCTCCATACCTGATCTCAATTCACTGACTCACCAGGAGCCAGATCCCTCCATACCTCATCTCAATTAACTCACTCACCAGGAGACAGGTCCCTCCATACCTCATCTCAATTAACTCACTCACCAGGAGCCAGGTCCCTCCACACCTCATCTCAATTAACTCACTCACCAGGAGCCAAGTCCCTCCATACCTGATCTCAATTCACTCACTCACCAGGAGACAGGTCCCTCCATACCTCATCTCAATTAACTCACTCACCAGGAGACAGGTCCCTCCACACCGGGTCTCAATTCACTCACTCACCAGGAGCCAGGTCCCTCCATACCTCATCTCAATTCACTCACTCACCAGGAGCCAAGTCCCTCCACACCGAGTCTCAATTAACTCACTCACTAGGAGCCAAGTCCCTCCATACCTGATCTCAATTCACTCACTCACCAGGAGACAGGTCCCTCCACACCTCATCTCAATTAACTCACTCACCAGGAGACAGGTCCCTCCATACCTCATCTCAATTCACTCACTCACCAGGAGCCAAGTCCCTCCACACCGGGTCTCAATTAAATCACTCGCCAGGAGCCAGGTCCCTCCATACCGGGTGTCAATTAACTCACTCGCCAGGAGCCAGGTCCCTCCCTAATGGATCTCAATTAACTCACTCACCAGGAGCCAGGTCCCTCCACACCTCATCTCAATTAACTCAGTCACCAGGAGACAGGTCCCTCCATACCTCATCTCAATTAACTCACTCACCAGGAGCCAGTCCTCTCCATACCTGATCTCAGTTACCTCACTCACCAGTAGCCAGGCCTCTCCAGACCTGGCTTAATTCTCACTATACTTAATTCAATTAATTCTCACTATAGCCCTATCAGACAAACTCTAGGATACACATGAGGATACAGAGTCTCAGAAAGGCTGAGAAAGTGGCTTGAGGTCACCTAGGTGGTAAGTGGTAGAGCTAGGAGTTGAAGTCAAGTCTGACTCTCAAGTCCACGCTCTTTCCATTGCACTATCTGCTTTTCTTTCTCCCCAAAGCCACAATATGCCACGATGCGGCCCAAGGCCTCTCCTCCAGTACCGTGCTGAGGGCTCTGAACAGATCAGGGCTGAAGCCAAGATGTCATCCAGTGCAATACCCACATGACCTCCGTGAATATCTACCCTGCCTTAACACTGTTTATCTTTAGGAAGCAGGATGCCTGAGGTCCAAACTTCTCCCTGGTGATCAAACCAGCTAAGACTGATGGAATCCAAGATGGCAGCTCATTTGACCTCTAACTTCATTATAATCTAATTTCCATGTTAAATGACAGTCCCACTAACACCGTAACAGTCAACAACCAACATGACAATGATGGGAAAAAATAACATAAAAAAACAAATAGGAAGGTGGCACTCTGGTTTTGAAAATTTCTCCACCCAGACCCAGAAAACACATGATTCCTCCCCTTGCTTTTTTCATTTTTATTTTTGTAGAGATGGGGGTGTATCACTATGTTGACCAGGATGGTCTCGAACTCCTGGTCTCAGCAATCCTCTCATTTTGGCCTCCCAAAGTTCTGGGTTTATGGGAGTGAGCCATTGCACCTGGCCACTCCTCCCCTTGCTTTTAATGCTCAGCCCCTTCACTAAAGATGCCCTGTATCTGTGACTTCCTGGGTCTCACGAGCAGAAAAGTTGATTTGTGAGCCAAGCTCTCACTTCTCAATTCCATGGCCACCAAATAAAGCCTGCACTGCTTGAGGCTCACTTTCGGTTTTGCATATTGGCTTCATGGCACCAAACAGGGAAAGACCCCATTTTAGGGAAAGTGGCTTTGTCAGTAACAAGGACACAGAAGGAAAGAAATGGAGGATGATTTAGGGCAGAAGTCAGCAAACTATGGTCTATGGGCCAAATCTGGCCACTGCCTGTTTTTGTGCAACTCATAGGCTAAGAATGTTTTCTACATTTTTAGATGGTAGGAGAAGAACAAAAGAGGAAGAATGTTTTGTCACAAAAGTATATGAGATTCAAATTTCAGTGTCCACAGACGGCAATCCTGGCTCCTACCCCTAAAACAATCATTGCAGTGGAGCTCTGCCCTAGCTACGGCCCCTTTCTTCTTTTGGTTCCCTGACTTTGGGGCCTGGAGGGCACAAAGGCAAGGAGCAGGCTGCCATCCACCCCTTCTCAGAGAACCTGCAGGGAGCTCACCATGCTCTGCATCCAGTCTAGGTGGCTCCTAGCGGGGCTTGGTGGGTTCTCCATCCTCAGCACCATCTGCAGCACCATCTTGGTCATCTGAGAAGCTGAGAGAAACACAAGGTAAATGTTCCTGTCCTCATTTCTGCCTCCCAACCCCACTGCTGCTGCTCAATGTCCCCAGTATCTCTCTGCAGACTCCTGTGTGCCCTCAAAAGTCTACACGGTACCAGTCAAGAGACATCCATACTGCAAGATGATAGAAAGGTAAGTGGAACCCAACCACCTCATTCTCTACCCTCATGTCTACCACGGACAGCTGAACCTCTCCCTGTGGAACCTGGAAAAGTAGCTCAGAGAGGAGTAGCAGGTGGCAAGGAACATCAGGGAAACAAAGCTAGAAGGAGCATGTAGGCACCTTTGACCTGAAATAGACAAGATGCAAGATCTCAGGATTGTCAGGGACCTTAGGAACCATCTAGGCCACATCCCGGCTTTGGCCTGAAGTGCAGGCAAAGGGTTTGCCTCTGCCAGCCATCGCATCCAGCTTTGCTGTAGGTGGAATCGGGCCTGTATGTGAGTTACCAGGGTTGCAGAGGACACTGTGGTCTGGGTGGCAGTCTGGTGCCACATGGCAGAATTCATCACAGTAGCAACTTCCCCTCTTGCAGCGGTGATCCGTCCCAAGACAGCAAAGGTTCTGGGGTTGGGAGCAGCTGCCTGGAGAAAAAGGAACATTAAAAAAAAAAAAAAAGATTAAAATTAGCCAGGTATGGTGGTGCACGCCTGTAGTCCCAGCTACCCAGGAGGCTGAGACAGGAGATCACTTGAGCCCAGACGCAGGAAGCTGAAGTGAGCCATGATCACACCAGCGCACTTCAGCCTGGGTGACAGAGCAAGACCCTGTCTCAAAAAAAAAAAAAAAAAAAAAAAAAGGAAAAGAAAAGATAGATTTAACAAATGGTGCTTAGACAACTGGATAAGCACATGCAAAAGAATGCATTTGGACTCCTACCTCAAACCATATACAAATATTAACTCAAAATGGACCATAGACCTAAATGTAAGAGCTGAAACTGGCTGGGTGCGGTGGCTCATGCCTGTAATCCCAGCACTTTGGGAGACCAAGGCAGGCAGATCACTTGAGGCCAGGAGTTCAACACCAGCCTGGCCAACATGGTGAAACCCGTCTCTACTAAAAACACAAAAATTAGCTGGGCTTGGTAGCATGCACCTATAGTCCCAGCTACTCAGGAGGCTGAGGCAGGAGAATTGCTTGAACCCAGGAGGTGGAGGTTGCAGTGAGCCAAGATTGCACAACTGCACTCCAGCCTGGGCAACAGAGCAAGACTCTGCCTCCAAAATAAATAAATAAATAAAAATAAGTCAATCAAATTTAAAACTGGACAAAGGATTTAAATAGACATTTCTCCAAAGAAGATACACAAGTGGCCAGTGAGCATGAAAGATACTCAACATCATTAATCATAAGGAAATGCAAATCCAAACCACAATGAGATACCACCCCACATCCAGTAGGACGGCTAAGATAAAAAATAAAACAGCAAGTGTTGGCTGGGTGGGGTGGCTCACACCTGTAATCACGGCACTTGGGAACACTGAGATGGGTGGATGACGAGTTCAGGAGTTTGAGACCATCCTGGCCAGCATAGTGAAACCCGTCTCTACTAAAAATACAAAAATTAGCTGGGTGTGGTGGCATGCACCTGTAGTCCCAGCTACTCAGGAGGCTGAGGCACGAGAATCTCTTGAACCCAGGAGGCAGAGGTCGCAGTGAGCTGAGATCACGCCACTGCACTCCAGCCTGGCGACAGAGCGAGACCCCATCTCAAAAAAAAAAAAAAAAAAAGCAAGTGTTGAAGTGTTGCTGAGGGTGTGGAGAAATTGGAACCCTCATACACTGCTGGTGGAATTGCAAAATGGTGCAGCCACTTTGAAAATCAATTTGGGGAGATGAGGTGGCAGCAGAAAAGAATAAAAAAAAAAAAGAAAAAAAAGAAAAACAATTTGACAGTTTCTCAGAATGTAAACATAGAGTTGCCATATGACCCAGAAACCCTACTTCTGAGCCTGTAGTTAGGAGAATTAAAAACACATGTTCACACAAAAACCTATCAATGAATATTCATAGCAGTGTTATTCATAATAGCCAAATAGTAGAAACAATTCAAATGCCCTTCAACTGATGAATGGCTAAAACTAAATCTGGTATATCCATATAATGGGATATTACTCAGCCATAAAAAGGAATGAAGTACAGATGCATGCCACAACAACAATGAAACTTGAAAACATGCTAAGTGAAAGAAGCCACTCACAAAAGGCCGTGTATTGTATGATTCCATTTATATGAAATGTTTAGAATAGACAAATCCATCAAGACAGAAAGTATATTAGTGGTTGCCAGGGGCTGGTGAGATGTGTGGACCAGGCAGTGACTGCTGATGGGTCAGAGTTTATTTGGGGCATAACAAACATGTTCTGAAATTAGACAGAGGTGGCCAGGCGCAGTGGCTCACACCTGTAATCCCAGCACTTTGGGAGGCCGAGGCGGGCAGATCATTTGAGGTCAGGAGTTTGAGACTAGCCTGGCCAACGTGGCAAAACCCTGTCTCTACCAAAAAGTGCCAAAAAAATAAAATAAGACAGCAGTGATGGTTCTGCAACCCTGTGAATACACTGAACAACACTGAAATGTACACATGGTGAATTGTACAAAAGGGTAAATCTCACATCCTGTAAATTATCTCTCAATAAAGCTGTTATTAAACAGAGAGAGAGAGAAGGAGAGAAAAGGGGGAGATAAGATGAGGACGGTAATGGGAGTGACAGCGAAGAGAGAAATAGAGAAAACAGCAGAGAAGAGAGTGCCTAAGAGGGAGAGAAACCCCTCCCCCACTCCCCACAGTTAGAGGAAGGTCTTCCAGAGCCCTGTTTACAAACCAGTTCTGCCAACTCTACCCCCTGCCCAAATTTCCCCAAATTGCTCAGCTCAGTTGTGATCTGGTCATTGTCATTCCCTCCAAGAGAAGGGGATGCATCTTCTTTAAGAGTGCGGCAAGCAAGGCGTGGGCAGGAGGGACGCTGGCCCAGTTACCTGGCGAGTCTGTGGCTCAGGTGAGCAGGGGACCCAGGTGTTGTCACCCCAGGACTCTCAACACTCTTCTCCGTCTACTTGACTTTGACCTTCCAAATTGCTTCCTGTTAGGTTAACACCTGGCTCTTTAGGGCTAAACTGGAGGGCTTTGTTTAGGGATAAACTTGAAGGCCTTTCAAAGTTGACACGATCAACAGGGAGCAGGCCTCTGAGCCCTGTGGGCCTGGGTGTGGCTGAGCCAGTCTGTTGTGGAAACAGGGCCAGCAGGTGTCCGGTAGTGTGGTCTGGGGGGTCAAGACTCTGAAGGTGAGGGTGGCCTGGCTGGGGCCACAGCCTCTGAGTTTGGCCTGGCTTTTGCCTCATGTTCAGCTCAGGAGCCTCCTGCAAGTGATCAGCTTCTCTTCTCATGTTGTCCCTCTTCTCCAGAGCCTGGTGCTGCGTCAGGTTGTCACCAAGACCAGGGATCAACCAGAAAGGGCTGGAGTGGAAATAGAGCCCCAGGAGCCACCCAGACTAAGGTTGCCGACAATCTGTGAGACTGAGTTCAATTCAGTGGTCATAACCAACATTTATTTCAACAGGATGACACTGAATGAAATAGAATAGAATAGACCCACATACATTGTATGTAAAAGTCAACTGAGTTCTTTTTGAAATTTCTGTTGGTTTTTATACACACAGATGCACTTACTGGGTCAGAGTATAAAATGTATTTATTAAAGTGAACTGGGGCCAGAAACGTTGGAAAGCCACTGATCTAGAGAGATGTCCTCATTGTATAGACAAGGGGAGAACCTTTTGCCCATGGCTGGGAGTCAAACCAGCAATCCTGACCTCTCCCCTGCTTTCCCACCATATCGTGCTCAGGGTCCTCACTCAAAAAGCCTCTTGTTGCACGTGCTACGGAGCTCTGCTGTTCTCTAAACACCCTGCATTCTCCTGCCTCTGAGCCTTTGCTCAAGCTCTTCCCTCGGCTTGGAAGGCCCTTCCCTCCCATATCCATTAGAATTAAATATTCTATGCTTCAAGGCAGCATTTGAAGACAACTTCCCCCGGGGTGCCGAGGAGCTAGCTCATTATTATGAAGATGAAAAATAAAGAATCAAACATTGATCCAGCCTTTCCATCCAAGCCAAATAGTTGACAAGGGAAATATCTTCACGACAGAGAACCTTCGGCTAACAAGTGCAGAAAGAATGATAGAAAAGCACTACTTGGCAGCCCCTAATGAGAAGTGGATCTCAGCACAAATCATTAGTGGACAGAATTTTATAATGGGTGCACTATCTGGTGGATGAAGTTTAACACCAGTAAAAGTGGGACAGCTGGACACTTTGTGTCTCCTTCGAGGTGCGATAGGAAGTACCCACCTATGGATTCTTCCTGCCTAAGAAATCTCCAGTCCTGATCTCAACTACCAGAGTTCAGGAAAGACAGAGGCAGAGGGACATCCACAAAGATTCAATCAGTCAAACCCAGAAGGTAGGATATGCCGCAGGACACAGTACCTGGTTCGTTCAACAGCTAAATGACATGAAAAAATGGCACTGATCTAGGTATAGATTTAAAGACATTTAAGAAATATGCTAGTTAAACATGTGTGCGTATCTTTTTTGGATCTTGACTTGAATAAACCAGCTGTAAAAAGGCATTTTTCTTTCTTTCTTTTTTTTTTTTTTTTTTTTTTTTTTTTGAGACATGGTCTCACTCGGTGCAGCAGACTGGAATGCAGTGGTATGGTCACAGCTCGCTGCAGCCGCAACTTCTGGGGCTCAAGCAATTTTCTCACTTCAGCCTTCTGAATAGCTGGGACTATAGGTGAACATCAACACACCTTGCTAATTTTTAAACAAATTTTTTTTTTGTAGAGACTGAGTCTCGCTATTGTACCCAGGCTGGTCTCAAACTCCTGAGCTCCAGTGATCCTCCCACCTTGGCCTCCCAAAGTGCTGGGACTACAGGCATCAGCCACCACATCTGATCTTATTTTTTCTTTTTCTCTTCTGCTTTGCTGCTGAATAACAAGATATTTTTGACAAGTGGGGGAAATATGAACACTGATAGGTATTAAACGATAGTAAGTAGTTTTTTAAATTAATTAATTAATTAATTTTTTTTTTAAAGACAGAGTCTTGCTCTGTTGCCCAGGCTGGAGTGCAGTGGCGCAATCTCGGCTCACTGCAACCTCCACCTCCCTGGTTCAAGTGATTCTCCTGCCTCAGCCTCCCGAGTAGCTGGGATTACAGGTACCCGCCACCATGCCTAGCTAATTTTTGTATTTTTAGTAGACACAGGGGTTTCACCATGTTGGCCAGGCTGGTCTTGAACTTCTGGCCTCAGGCGATCTGCCCGCCTCAGTCTCTCAAAGTGTTGGGATTACAGGTGTGCGACCATATTTGTTTTGGCTCTGATAAGGTATTGTGGTTATATTTTTTAAATATGGGGGATAAGAGCTTGAGCATAATGTTGATAATATTGAAGGTGGCCAACTGGTACCTTGGGTTCATCATCCTATTCTCTTTACTTTTGCATGTGTTTGAATTTTTCCACAATAAATAGCTTTGGGTTTTTTTTTTTTTTTTTTCCTGAGATGGAGTCTCCCTCTGTCACCCAGGCTAGAGCGCAGTGGCGCAATCTCGGGTCACTGCAACCTCTGTCTCCCAGGTTCAAGTGATTCTCCTGCCTCAGCCTCCCAAGTAGCTGGGATTACAGGCACCCACCACCACACCTGGCTAATTTTTGTATTTTAATAGCGATGGTATTTCACCATGTTACCCAGGCTGGTCTTGAACTCCTGACCTCAAGTGATCCACCCGTCTCGGCCTCTCAAAGTGCTGGGATTACAGGCGTGAGCCACCGCACCCAGCCAAGAAGTACAGCCTTGTGCCACATCACGATGTTTAGACCGATGATGGACCATATATATGACGGTGGCCCCATAAGATTATAATAGGGCATATGCAGAAACCCGATATATGGTGCTCGATATTGGCCTTGAGGATCAAGCAGGGGAAATGACTGATGTTCAGTAATGGGACATGTGCTGGGACATGTGGCTTTCCATGTGGAAAACAAACATGTAAATAAATATATATATAAACCATCTAGGTTTATGTAAACTCTCGATTTCATTGTTGTGTGAACTCTATGATATTCATACAACAAAGAAATCATCTGATGATGCATTTCTCAGAATGTGTCTCCATCATTAAGCAACAGCTGACTGTGTTCCTACCAATGACATCTAGTTTTCTCCCAAGAGAAGTTCTAGGGCCAGGCACGGTGGCTCACACCTGTAATCCCAACACTTTGGGAGGCGGAGGTGGGCAGATCACCTGAAGTCAGAAGTTCAAGACTAGCCTGGCTAACATGGCGAAACCCTGTCTCTATTTAAAATGCCAAAAATTAGCCAGGCATGGTGGTGCATGCCTATAATCCCAGCTACTCGGGAGGCTGAGGCAGGAGAATGGCTTGAACCCAGAAGGTGGAGGTTGCAGTGAGCCGAGATCGTACCACTGCACTCCAGCCTGGCGGGGGACAGAGCAGACTCTGTCTGGAAAAAAAAAAATTAAAAAGAGAGAGAGAGGAGAGAGAGAGAGAAGTTCTAGTAAATGCAACTGTATTCACCCTGTTGTATTTCCAGGGATGTTTGAATAAACCCAGTAGACTGGTGCCTGGAAATTGCCCAGTGAGTCTGCCTGTTAATCTGGATCTGGGTTTATCACACCTACCTTCCCTCCTGTCCCGTCCACCCCAGCCACCCACAGTGCCCACGCTGCCTCTATCCGAGGGAGCATCCTCTGGATACTAGACCCTCCCAAGCTGATCATCCAAAGACATCTTATCCAGATATAAAACTGGATACACAAAGAAGCCACATCAACCATATAGTCGGTACTTAATAAGTGTCTGAATACATGAATTATTTGATTAATGAATTAATGAATGCTGGGTCACAGGAGGTGGGTCATGCCAGAGACAAAACAGATTAATTGATTGAATGAATGAGAGAGCAGAGATTGGGGTCTCTTTGACCTGTAGCACAGATGCCAGCCTAGCTCCTCACCTGTCTTCACCCCAAGGCTCAGCCACAGCAGGAGGAGGAGGACCAGCCACGTGGCAGCAGGCATCAAGCAGAGATAGAAGTGCTGCAGCGTCCAAGGCCTGGTCTTTAAATATCCACCCATCCCAGCCAGCCCACCTGGTTCCTCCCTACTCCTGGGGAGGAACCAGCAGACACCTGGGCAGTCACTGGCAGACAGCAGGAGTGACACAGGTATCCCAGCTGCTTGAAATAGCTCACCCAAGCAGAGGTAATTTTGACATCCTGGAAACTCCAGCCTCCAGGGGAAGAATCTGAAAAACCAGAGTGACAAAATGACAGCGCTCACAGGAACTTTGCAGATTATCTAATCTTTTTATTTATTTTATTTTATTTTTTGAGACAGAGTCTCACTCTATCGCCCAGGCTGGAGTGCAGTGGTACGATCTCAGCTCACTGCAACCTCTGCCTCCCGGGTTCAAGAGGTTCTTCTGCTTCAGCCTCCCCAGTAGCTGGGATTACAGGTGGCTACTATTACACCCAGCTAATTGCTGTATTTTTAGTAGAGACGAGTTTTCACCACGTTGGCCAGGCTGGTCTCAAACTCCTGACCTCAGGTGATCCACTGCCTCAGCCTCCCAAAGTGCTGGGATTACAGGCATGAGCCACCACACCTGGCCAATTGACTTTTATTAGCATTCATATACAGGTTTTGTGTGAATATATGTTTTCATTTCTCCGGGATAAATGTGCAAAAATGAAATTACTGCATCATATAGTAGTTGCACATTCAGTCATAAAAAAAAACAGCCAAGCTGTTTCCCAGAGTGGCTGCACCACTTTAAATTCTCACAGCAGTGATTGAGTGGTACAGTTCCTTTGCATCCTTGACAATAGTATTGTTACTATTTTTTATTTTGGTGATTCTTTTTTTTTTTTTTTTTTTTGAGACATAATCTTGCTCTGTCGCCCAGGCTGGAGCGCAGTGGCATGATCTCAGCTTACTGCAACCTCCGTCTCCTGGGTTTAAGCAATTATCTTGCCTCAGCCTCCCAAGGTGCTAGGACTACAGGCGTGTGCCACCACACCTGGCTAATTTTTGTGTTTTCAGCAGAGACAGGGTTTTGCCATGTTGGCCAGGTTGGTCTTGAATTCCTGATCTCATGTGATCTGCCTGCCCCAGCCTCCCAAAGTGTTGGGATTACAGGTGTGAGCCACCATGCCTGGCCTTATTTTGTTGATTCTAACACGTGGTGATATCTCCTGGTTTAAAGAAGCGTTTCCCTAATGGTATCAAACATCTTTTCATGTGCTTATTTGCAATCTGTATATCTTCTCCAGTGAAATGTTGCTTTGTATCTTTTGCTCATGTTCTAATTGCATTCTTTGTTTTGTTACTATTTTAAGACTTTTAAATGTATTCTAGATACTAGTCCTTTGCAAATATAGTCATGCATCGCATAAGGACATTTTGGTCAATGACAAACTGCATATAGGATGCGGTCCCATAAGATTATAATAATGGGCCTGAAAAAATTCCTGTTGCCGAGTGCAATGCTACTCATGTGTCTAGTGATGCTCGTGTAAAGCTACTGTGCTGCCACTTGCATAAAAGCACAGCGCACACCATTCTGTACAGTACACAATACTTGATAATGATAATAAATGTGTTCCTGGATAGCACAGCACACACCATTCTGTACAATACACAATACGTGATAATGATAATAAATGTGTTCCTGGTTTATGTATTTACTATAATATACTATTGATCAGTGTTTTAGAGTGTACTCCTTCTCTCTATAAAAGAATTAAGTGAACTAGCAGGCCCTTTGGGAAGTACTGTAGAAGGCATTGTTACCACAGGCGATGACAGCTCCATGTGTGTTATTGCCCCTGAAGACCTTCCAGAGAGACAAAATGTGGAGGTGGAAGACAGTGATACTGATGACCCTGACCCTGTGTGGATCTAGGCTAACATGTGTTTTTGTGTCTTAGTTTTCAACAAAAAAGTTTAAAAAGTTAAAATACTAAGTTTATAAAGTTAAAAAGTTACAGTAAGCTAAGGCTGACTTATTGAAAAAATGTGCTTATACATGTAATATAGCTAAGCTGGCTTTTGCAAACATAGAGTCCTGTGGATGTTATGCTGACTTCGGCTTGGGGTTTTTCACAGAGAGAAGCATGGCAAGGGGGACTCCATCAGGTTGGTGCAAAGGTAATTGCTGTTTTCGCAATTAAAATAATGGGAAAAACTGCAATTACCTTTGCACCCACCTAATAACTTATCTAGGGGACTCTTTCTCCACCCAAAACCCAGGACACTTGGCCCACAACTACATCACCACCCCAGGGTTCCAGGACACTTGGCCCATGACTACATCACCACCCCAGGGTTCCAGGACACTTGGCCCACAACTACATCACCACCCCAGGGTTCCAGGACACTTGGCCCATGACTACATCACCACCCCAGGGTTCTTTACTATAGTTTTCTTGTTCTTCCTTCAATTACGTGTGACATTCCCAACTCCAAGATTCTTCCAGTCCTTCTCTCCCCCTTCATCTAAAGCAGGCTGTCATGAGTTTCTGTCAGCTGCAATCAAGAGTCATGACTCTTACAGTGGGTAGGATTACTCCCTTTTTTGTTGTCATTAAGGAAACCTGTAAGAGGAAAAACAAACACACTTTATGTGGAGAGACAGGGAAAGTTGTTCTATTCAGTCTGGAATCTAGTCCCTCAGCTGGTGGTCCACCTTCGGATTCACTGGTCTTGGGAGTAAGACGGTGCCTTGTAGTCAAAGAAGTGAGGAATTCTGGTGCCTCCTGAGGGTGGAACTGAGGAGAGGAGACGTGAGAGAGGATGCTGGAAAGGAGGAAGCAGCCAGAATGTGTAGGGCCTTTGTGGCCAGGCCAAGGAGCCTCAGGGAATATCTGAGCGTCTTAAATAGGTCAGAGGGCAATTCTGAAAACAAACTCCTTCTACCTGCTGTGTAGGCAATGAGTTGTCATTGTTAGATAGAGGATAAAATGAACCCAATTAGATTATTGCCATCATTCCAGTGATTGAAGATGTTGATCTGTAATAGGGTAATGGCCATACACTTTCGAGAGGAAAAATGTTCAAATTTAGGGGATAATTAGAAATCTGCACTTACAGCCCTTGGTGACACTTTTCCTATGAGCCAAACGGAGAGGGGGAGAGAGAGAGAAGGTGGACAGTCACCGACATATGAGGCAGTGGAAGAGGAACAGGCATGGATAGGAAGAGAATTGTGGGACACACTGGGTTCGAGATGCCTGTGTGAGACAGTCTCATGAATATGTCCAGTAGTATATTGACCAAGCAAGTCTGTCAGGAGCCTCTGGAAATGAGGTACAGAATTTGATAGTCATCACTATGGAGATGGTAACCTGAGCCGTGAGAGAAGCTAAAATCCCCGGGGAGAGGATGTAGAATGAGAGGAGAAAATGGGCCAGGACAAACACAAGGAATGCTCGGAGGGAGG
Source organism: Homo sapiens (assembly GCF_000001405.40). Classification (NCBI taxonomy): domain Eukaryota; kingdom Metazoa; phylum Chordata; class Mammalia; order Primates; family Hominidae; genus Homo; species Homo sapiens. Next base: position 96,927 of record NT_187691.1, read on the forward strand.
GGCAAAACCAGAACAGTACAGCGTCCCCAAACCAAGGAAAAGAATGTTGCCAGAAGAGGAGAGTCAGGCTGTTTCAAACTCTGCTAAGAAGTGAAGGATGTTGCATATTGAGTAGAGTCCATTGGGGTTACCAGTCAGGCTGACTCAGGGATCCTCTTTGGCAGAAGTAGTTCCAATGAAGTGGGAGGAGGAAGGGAGGAGCAGAGGCCAAATGAGCGTGAGGAGTGTTTAGGAGTTGACAGAAAGTGTATCCACTTTTTTGAGACGTTTAGCCAGGAAGAGGGAGAGACATGGGGCAGTAGGTGGAGGAGGAGATGAAATTAAGGGAGTGTATGGAGTTTTAAAATGGAAAGCTTGATCCTGTTTAAATGCTGTTTTATGCCCCTACGAGGGCGAGGTTAAACATACAGAATAGAGGCATAACTGATAGAGCCAAGACTCCCACCCAGGAGCGGGTTTCGAGCGGCACCTCTCTAATTCAATCCCAAAGGAAAAGAGGATACATGTGGGTCCAGGTACATGCTGAGGTTTGGTGGCAGGACTTTGAAGGAGGTCCCATCTGATGGCTTCTATTTCTCCTGTGAAATAGGGGAAGCCCTGTCTGCTGGTTGTGATGTGCCGTGACAGTCAGAAATGCGGGGAAAAGGGGACAGGTCTGAAACGGGAGGCGTTAAGAATGGGAAAGTAAAGGCAGGCGCGATGGCTCACGCCTGTAATCCCAGCACTTTGGGAGCTCGAGGCGGGTGGATCACCTGAAGTCGGGCATTTGAGACCAGCCTGGCCAACATGGTGTAACCCCATCTCTACTAAAAATACAAAAATTAGCCAGGCATGGTGGTGTGTGCCTGTAATCCCAGCTACTTGGGAGGCTGAGGCAGGAGAATCGCTTGAACCCAGGAGGTGGAGGGTGCAGTGAGCTGAGATCGCGCCGCTGCACTCCAGACTGGGTGGCAAAGCGAGACTCCAACTCAAAAAAAAAAAAAAAAAAGAATGGGAAAGGGAGAGTGTCTGGGGAAGCAGCGTTGCCTCGGCAAGGCCTGAGACCGGCTGGGGTTAGAGATCAGGACTCCCGCGTGGCCTCGTCTCTGCCTCTGTGCATTTTCCCCCAGCAGGTCAGCAGTGTGAAAGGCGGGGGTTCTAGTAGGTCTCACAGGGAGACAATGCAGGAAGGGGCTGAGAATTGCAAGTGAGAGGTTATTGGTAGGACGGACAATGCAGGAGCTGGATGGACTGCACGGACTGAGCGATCGCCACCGAGAGATATTTGGGGTACCCTGCCCCAGTCCCCAGCCCTCAGCCCCCGACCCACCATGGGAGGTGGGAGCAGCGGGCAGGCCGGTTGGGGGCCAGATACCCAGGCAGTGGGATGTGCAGTGGGAGGGGTCTCCGCCCCTGCCCCGGGTCCCCACTGGCCCCTCCGCCGCCGACCGGCCCCCCCGCGGCATCCCAGAGCCGACCCAGGCCCAACTAGAGGAATGGCTGCAGAGCTGGGATCCTAATGACACAGGACAGTGGTGGAGCGTTAAGAGCTCGGTGGTAAACGTGCACTGAAATACAGTCATGCTGTGCAGAAGCTCTCTAGTTTCATTAGATACCTTTTGTCAATTTTGGCTTTTGTTGCCATTTCTTTTGGTGTTTTAGTCATGAAGTCTTTGCCCATGCTTACGTCCTCAATGGTGTTGCCTAGGTTTTCTTCTAGGATTTTTCTGGTTTTAGGTCTCACGTTTAAATCTTTAATGCATCTTGAGTTAATTTTTGTATAAGTGTCAGCAAGGGGTCTAGTTTCGGTTTTCTGCATATGACCAGGCAGAGTGAACAGGCAACCTACAGAATGGAAGAAAATTTTTGCAATCTATCCATCCGACAAAGGGCTAATATCCAGAATTTACAAGGAACTTAAGTAAATTTACAAGAACAAACAACCCCATCAGAAAGTGTGCAAAGGATATGAACAGACACTTCTCAAGACATTTATGCAGCCAACAAACATGAAAAAAACTCATCGTCACTGATCATTAGAGAAATGCAAATCAAAACCACAATGAGATATCATCTCACACCAGTTAGAATGGTGATCATTAAAAAGTCAGGAAACAACAGATGCTGGAGAGGATGTAGAGAAATAGGAATAGTTTTACACTGTTGGTGGGAGTGCAAATTAGTTCAACCATTGTGGAAGACAGTGTGGCGATTCCTCAAGGATCTAGAACTAGAAATACCATTTGACCCAGCCATCCCATTACTGGGTATATACCCAAAGGATTATAAATCATTCTACTGTAAAGACACATGCACACGTATGTTTATTTATTATTTTTGAGACGGAGTCTTGCTCTGTTGCCAGGCTGGAGTGCAGTGGCACGGTCTCGGCTCACTGCAACCTCCACCTCCCGGGTTCAAGCGATTCTCTTGCCTCAGCCTCCTGAGTAGCTGGAACTACAGGCACACACCACCACGCCCAGCTAATTTTTTGCATTTTACTAGAGAAGGGGTTTCACCATGTTGGCCAGAATGGTCTTGATCTCCTGACCTCGTGATCCACCCGCCTCAGCCTCCCAAAGTGCTGGGATTACAGGTTTGAGCCACCGCGCCCAGCCCCGAGCACATGTATGTTTATTGCGGCACTATTCACAATAGCAAAGACTTGGAACCAACCCAAATGCCCATCAATGACAGACTGGTTAAAGAAAATGTGGCACATAGACACCATGGAATACTATGCAGCCATAAAAAAGGATGAGTTCATGTCCTTTGCAGGATCATGGATGACACTGGAAACCATCATTCTCAGCAAACTAACACAGGAACAGAAAACCAAACACTGCATGTTCTCACTCATAAGTGGAAGTTGAACAATGAGAACATATGGACACAGGGAGGGGAACATCACACACCGGTGCCTGTTGGGAGGTTGGGGGCAAGGGGAGGGATAGCATTAGGAGAAATACCCAATGTAGATGACAGGTTGATGGGTGCAGCAAACCACCATGGCACATATATACCTATGTAACAACGCTGCACGTTCTGCACATGTATCCCAGAACTTAAAGTATAATAATAATAATAATAAAGGAATTGAGAGACTGTTGATATCAACTGTTCCCTGAGCCACATGGAAAGCTGTATCCTCTGCAGGCTGCTTGGTGAGTATGTGAGGAGGTATATTCATTCACTTTGAGACCTATTTCTCTAAGAAAGGGTCCTGAAAGGCTTTCCCCTGCTACAGGGACAGCCCTTGGCAAGGAAGCCACTGTCCTCAGGCACACAGGGCTCCTTCATCTCCTGCAACAGATACAGCCCTTGGCAAGGAAGCCACTGTCCTTGAGCACATAGACAGGGCTCCTTCATCTCCTGCAACAGGGACAGCCCTTGGCAAGGAAGCCACTGCCCTTGAGCACATAGACAGGGCTCCTTCATCTCCTGCAACAGGGACAGCCCTTGGCAAGGAAGCCACTGTCCTTGAGCACATAGACAGGGCTCCTTCATCTCCTGCAACAGGGACAGCCCTTGGCAAGGAAGCCACTGTCCTTGAGCACATAGACAGGGCTCCTTCATCTCCTGCGACAGGGACAGCCCTTGGCAAGGATGTCACTTCCTTGGGCACACAGACAGGGCTCCTTCAGCAGACAGCAGATAGATATGCAATGCAAGCCTTGGTTTTTTGGGATGATTCCAATGCAGCACCAGATACGTGTGTCCAATTCTGGGGTTTGCTCATAGGAAACCCATGTGCCAGCAAATCTATGTCACATTCTCCAGTATCACCTTTATAAGGAATAAAGTCAATTTACTGTTCTTCTGTAAAAAGAAAGAAACGTATTCATGACTGTAGCTTGGCTGTCACTCAAGTGCAAGTGAATGGTGGATGTGGCCGCGCGGCTCCACGCACTGATTCATAATCCCCAAAAGGGACAAGGGCAGACCCAGCTCTCTGCAGGGCAAACGCTCCACAACCCAAAACACTTGTTTCTGTTGTTGTTGCTGTTTGGAAACTCCCTCTTCTATTTCCCACCTCCCTCTTTCCCGTTCTCATTCCCTTTTCTCTGCTCCTATTTCTGTTTCCCTCAGTTCCACCTAATACCCCGTGGTGTCACCCTAGCCCTTTCCTCTACCCACTCCAGCCTTACTACCCCCAACGTCCCACACCCTGGGAAACACCAAGGTCTGCCTCTGTACCTCCAAGTTCTTTCCCCGTTATTGCCCTGGGTCAGTCCTTTGTGGGGGCTCCTCTCTCCTCTCTTGATTTCTTTTCATCTGGCTAACCTCTAATCCTGTAAGATTTACCTCAAATATCTTTCAAGAAGTATTTTCTGAATCCAAGGAGGACCTAAAAGCCATTCTGCTGGCCTCCCAGAGCTGAATCTGCCCATCTCCCCCGGATTATATTAAAATTATAAGTCATGTAAAATCCTTTTGGAACGAGACAGGGTATGATAAATAAGAAATATTCAACAAGTATACGTTACTTGTGTACACATACCACCTGACTTCTTTAACAACACATTGCAAGAAATAAAAAGATGGAGACATACGGCTGGGCGCAGTGGCTAATGCCTGTAATCCCAGCACTTTGGGAGGCCAAGGCAGGTGGATCACTGAGGTCAGGAGTTCGACACCAGCCTGGCCAACATGGTGAAACCCCCATCTCTACTAAAAATACAAAAATTAGCCAAGTGTGGTGGCAGGCACCTGTAATCCCAGCTACTCGGAAGGCTGAGGCAGGAGAATCTCTTGAACCCGGAATGCGGAGCTTGCAGTCAAGCAAGATTATGCCACTGCACTCCAGCCTGGGTGACACAGCAAGACTCCATCTCAAAAAAAAAAAAAAAAAGAAAAAGAAAAAGAAAAAACACCATGCATGCATACTCATATGAATGTACAAATGGATGAGTCTAGAACAAAAGATACTAGCCTGATACATATACAAACTATGCAGCTGCAGTCCCTGCCTCTTCCGCAACCCTGACCTCTAAGAAAGCTCTAACTCTGAATCCTGTCAGCACCTGGGCTGTGCTGCTTGGGACAACATTGTCTTCACAAGTCCTCTCCACATTCTCAGAGGTGGGGGTATTGCCAATGATGGGGGTTACTGCCTGAGTCCCGTCACCAGGGGACAAAGCTACAGCAGACACCACCATCTGCCAACAAAAAGAGAGATCATCTCCCACCCCTGGTTCTGCTGACGCAATCACTGGAAGCATCGAGGCACCACTATGTCCTCACCTGCCTCGGATTCAATTTCCTCCTAGCCAGGTCTGTTCTAAGGTCTCCAGAAGTTGAGAAATTAATTGAAAGATAACACTTTCCTCCCTGTGTTAAGGTTTATCACATAATGTATCCAAATACTGGGCCAGTCTTTCCTTTGGTCTCATTTCTATGAGCTAATCTGAAAATGCCTTTTCTGTTTTCCTTAGAATTTTTCTAAATGTTTCTGGGCGCTTGTGTTCCTGAGGCTTTCCACAGTGCACCCTCTTGTTCATCTGATGTCTTTGGCACATATAGGCCCTCGACAGGTAGTTGTTCAATGAACAGATGACCATCCTGTCCTTTGTGTGAACAAGCATAGCAAGTGCACATTGTATCTGTTTGTGTATCCAACAGCGTCCCTCCAAAGCCACTTTGTTCACTTATTTTCTCAGGATCACGGACGGCTGCATCTTGACATAAGCACACAGAATCTTTCCTTTTCCAGTCACTTTTCCTTTTTCCAGATTCCGGCCATAGAATTCCAGGCACAGAGCCAACCATGCCTGGCACCCCCTCCTGTCTTGGGACAAGGATACTTTCTCCTGTGGCTCCCATCTTGCTTCCAACATTCTTCTGCCAGAATTCAGTTTGGCGGACAATGACCTACTACTTTTAATTTTTTTCCCCTTTTTGCTCTTCTACCAAATACCGCTTTTCACCCAGGCTTTTCACTGCGTAGTGGACAATCTATCAAACAGGTGCTGTCCAGCGTGAGGGGCAGTTGCAAAGGTCTGCATCGGTGCTGGCTGATGGAACTTTCCGGTGATGGCATCATTCCGTAGCTGCACTGTCCAGTGAGGAGGCTACTTGCCACTGTGGCTACTGCTTGGGATGGTGCAGGTCTGAATATCTTACTCACAGCTCACCTTTTTGGTGCCTTTGATCCGTATTAGGAATTATCCACATCTTCTCTCTGGGCAATATTCTACTTTTTATATTGACCCAATTATTTTACTTCTTTGGTGTGTCCTTTCTCCTAACACATATGGGTTCACTTTGAAACCCTGAAACCCACATTTACAAAAACATTTTCAATATGAAACATTGTTCCATGACTCATTACTGGAGTACCATCAACATTTACATTTCCAGACCACCCACTGCCCAGTGGTTTTCTTGGTCTCAGTACTCATGAAAACGGTCTGAAGGTTTGTTTTGGGTTCCTAAGTAGTAGACACACGCACAACACTGCCTGTCAGTTATTTCTTGGAAACTAAATCAGCCCTTCTGTTGCCATCCTATCATGCTTCAGGGGTGCCTGTGCTAGTTTTTAATTCTTTGTCCTAACACTTAAATGTTTGCTCAAACGCCCATATTAATACTTCCTCTTAGTTTACAAAAGGATTTACTTTCTTACTGGTTGGGATGAAGCTGCCTGAGGTTGCCACCTGTTATTTTTCCTTCATTTATTGGACCATGTCATCCCATTACATGTTAGCCGTGGAGGTTTTCAAACTGTGTTCCCTGGACATGTTAGAAATGCAAATTCTCAGACCGAACCAGGACTGAATCGGAAGATCTGGGGTAGGGTCCCTCCAGGACTGAAAACGGAAGGTCTGGGGTGGGGTACCCCAGGACTGAATCGGAAGGTCTGGGGTGGGGTCCCCCCAGGACTGAATCGGAAGGTCTGGACGAGGGTCCCCCCAGGACTGAATCAGAAGATCTGGGGTAGGGTCTCCCCAGGACTGAATCGGAAGGTCTGGGGTGGGGTCCCCCCAGGACTGAATTGGAAGGTCTGGACTAGGGCCCCCCCAGGACCGAATCGGAAGGTCTGGACTAGGGTCCCCCCAGGACTGAATTGGAAGGTCTGGGGTAGCGTCCCTCCAGCTGATCCTGTTACACAGGTTAGAGAACCATGGCATTAGGGGTAGCAATTTGACAATTCTTTTTTTTTTTTTTTGAGACAGAGTCTCACTCTTGTTGCCCAGGCTGGAGTGCAGTGGCGCACTCTCGGCTCACTGCAACCTCCGTCTCCCAGGTTCAAGCAACTCTCCTGCCTCAGCCTCCTGAGTAGCTGGGATTACAGGCACCCATCATCATGCCTGGCTAATTTTTTGTATTTTTAGAGATGGGGTTTCACTATGTTGGCCAGGCTGGGACAATTCTTAAACTGTCATTCTTTACTCACTTACTTGCAGGAATTCTTATGTAAAGAACTTTCCCTAATCAACAAGGTTTCCCTGAATTGCAATTTGTAGAGAAAAGACAGGATAATTACTGATCTTCCTTCAAGTGTCCATTCCCAGTGTTAGGAGTTAGTGCCCTAGGTACCTCCAAGAGTGACCAATTACATGTGTTTGTTTGGTTTTGGCTTTGAAACCACCACTATGAATTCATGGTTTTCATGTATTAGAGACCACTTTCTAGGTGCTTGATGTGTCTACTGCTACTGGGGCAGAGGTAGAAAATGTGTCTACGGTAAAAGAACAACAAATGAGTTCACGCTTATATTTCTATTTCAAATTTAGTATACGGTTTTACACCTTTTTCTCAGAAAAATCTTGTTTTATTTTTTGAGATAGAGTTTTGTTCCTGTTGCCCAGGCTGGAGTGCAGTGGCACAATCTCGGCTCACTGCAATCTCTGCCTCCTGTTTCAAGCGATTCTCCTGCTTCAGCCTCCCCAATAGCTGGGATTACAGGCACCTGCCACCATGCCCAGCTAATTTTTCAATTTTAGTAGAGATGGCGTTTCACCATGTTGGCCAGGCTGGTCTCAAACTCCTGACCTCAGGTCATCTGCCCACCTCGGCCTCCCAAAGTGCTGGGACTTGGGAGGATTTTCCCTTGCCAGAAAAATCTTAGTTTTAGCATTAACATAATTAGTTATTTGCTTTAACTCCCACCCCACATAATTTCAAAGGATTAATACCTATAAGACGAGTAACGGAGATGATTGATTGAAATTTAGGATTCAGTGGCTCTATTTGTCTTTAGACTATGGCTCACTAAATCTGCACACTTGAAGTGCTGTGTTCTAGCGATCCTCTGATGACACATGAAGTAATAGGCTGCGTGACTGTCACCAGCCTGATGTGCAGTTGGGCTGCAGAACCCCGTGATGCTGCCTAGCCCAGCCAGCCCCAGGTCACTCCTCAGACTCAAACTCGATTCTGACACCACCAGCACCCGGGACGCTGCCTAGGGGCTTTCTCTGGTGGCAGCAGCATGTCCTGGAGCAGGCCAGGGGTGCCCGGAATTGACCATCCTGAACCTGTGCAGCGTGGGCTGGTGAAGGAACGCACCAGCTCCCACAGTGAACACGGGCCCAGCTGTCCACATGAGACCCGGCTCCCGGACGCCCCATGCTGCCGCCTCTTTCCTGTCTCACCTCCCACTTCCCTTCAGCTGCTGCTCAGGGCCACCTTCCAAATTTTTGTCTCAGGGTTGGCGCCTGTAGAATGCAATCCAAGGAATTTAGATTCATTCATTTCAGATACCATTCTTTCAATTTTAGGGACTATCTTAAAAACTTAGTTTGGTAATATGTAAAACACTTACAATTTCAAAGTCCAGATATTACTTCAGAGTCTATTTCGGTCTCACTTCCACCACTGACCCCTGTCCTCCACAGCAACCACTTTAGATTTTTATCTTTGTACTGTTTTAAGAAAAAGCAAATATATATTTGCATTATATTATATGTACTCTGCCCCTTATCAATAGGCGTTCCTCATTCCTCCTTCTGGTACGGAGTTCCCCACTGCACGAATTAATGTTCCTAATCCCTTACTGATGGACATTTTGATTGTTTCCAGTTTTACAAATGCCACAGTGAAGAACTTTGTGGCAAACACATTCAGGCTGTGAAAAGAACTCTGTGGATAAAGTCCTTTCATTTCTTTGCCAGAGTTTTTTTTGAGGCAGATTCTAGAATTGCTGAGTCTAAGGGCAAATGCCATGTCGTTTTGTTAGATGCTGCCAAATCCTCTTCCATGAGGCTGCAACGTTCTGCATTCCACAGTGACGTATGAGAGTCCTTGTACCCCACAGCTTCATAAACAAAGCATGACAGCAAACCTGCACGTTTACCCATCACACAGTTGAGAAATTTTATCTACTTTCACCTTTTTTTTTGGTTAGCATTTTTATTCCCAGCTTTTTTGTGGTATAATGCGCAGAAGGTAATGAACACATTCTACCTGCAAGCTTCTTCCTGTGCCTTTGGAATCTGCTCCTGCCAGTCTGCAGGGAACCACGGATCTGCTTTCCGTCACGTAGGAGGCATTCTCGACACCCTCTGTACACAGCATGCGCTTTATTTGGCTTCTCTTACGCAGCGTAGTGACTTTCAGATTTATTCAAGCTGCTGCGTGCGCCAACAGTCCACTCCTTCCTAGTGCTGAGGCCCCCATCACATGAGCACAACTGTTTCTTGTGTGTGATGTGTTGTCCTCTGGCTGTGCACTGCCAAAAAAGACATCATTAAAAAAAATTTAAATATAATGTAAGACCTGCCTTGTCTTAGGAAACGTTTTTCTGGCAGTGGCTCACACCTATAATCCCAATACTCTGGGAGGCTGAGGCAGGAGGACTGCTTGAGCCCAGGAGTTTGGGACCAGCCTGGGCAAGAGGGTGAAACCCTGTCTCTAAAAATTAGCCAGGCATGGTGGCTCACACCTGTAGTCTCAGCTCTTAGGGAGGCTGAGGTGGGAGGACTGCTGGAGCCCAGGAGGTGGAGGCTGCAGTGAGCCGAGATCACACCACTGCACTCCAGCCTGGGCAGCATGGCAAGACTCTGTCTCGACCAAGAAAAAAACAAAAAATTAACAGAAGGAAAAACAAAACGGCTTTCTTATCAAAAATACACTTTAAGAACAAATTTATAATATTAAGTTGCTGCAAAAGTAATTGTGCCTTTTACCATTGAAAGCAATGGCAAATACTGCAATTACTTTTGCTCCAACCTAATATTATTTTCTAATGACAAACTTGGAAATAACTGTCATTGCTCTCTAAAAAGAACAGCCTAAAAATAAAGCAGCAGCCCATTTACTTCTATGCCAGTTCTTTTAGCATTTGGTTATTTAAACCGGCAGTCCCTAACCTTTTTGGCACCAGGGACTGGTTTCACGGAAGACACTTTTTCCACTGACAAGTGTGGGGATGGTTTGGAGATGAAACGGTTCCATCTCAGATCATCAGTATTAGATTCTCATAAGCGGGGCATAACCTAGATCCTTCTCATGCGCAGTTCACAACAGGATTCCACTCCTATGAGAATCTAATGCCACCACTGATCTGACAGGAGGCGGAGCTCACACAGCAATGATATGACAGGGGCGGAGCTCACAATAATGATATGACAGGGGGCGGAGCTCACACAGTAATGATATGACAGGGGGCGGAGCTCACACAGTAATGACAGGGGGCGGAGCTCACACAGTAATGATGACAGCGGGCGGAGCTCACACAGTAATGCTCTGGCAGGGGGCGGAGCTCACACAGTAATGCTCTGGCAGGGGGCGGAGCTCACACAGTAATGATGACAGGGGGCGGAGCTCACACAGTAATGATGACAGGGGGCAGAGCTCACAGTAATGCTCTGGCAGGGGGCGGAGCTCACACAGTAATGCTCTGGCAGGGGGCGGAGCTCACACAGTAATGCTGACGGGGGTGGAGCTCACACAGTAATGCTGACAGGGGGTGGAGCTCACACAGTAATACTCTGGCAGGGGGCGGAGCTCACACAGCAATGCTCTGACAGGGGGCAGAGCTCACACAGTAATGCTCTGGCAGGGGGCGGAGCTCACACAGTAATGCCGACGGGGGTGGAGCTCACACAGTAATGCTGACAGGGGGTGGAGCTCACACAGTAATACTCTGGCAGGGGGCGGAGCTCACACAGCAATGCTCTGACGGGGCAGAGCTCACACAGTAATACTCTGGCAGGGGGCGGAGCTCACACAGTAATGCTCTGACAGGGGGCGGAGCTCACACAGTAATCTCTGGCAGGGGGCGGAGCTCACACAGTAATGCTCTGCCAGGGGGCGGAGCTCACACAGTAATGCTCTGCCAGGGGGCGGAGCTCACACAGTAATCTCTGGCAGGGGGCGGAGCTCACACAGTAATGCTCTGACAGGGGGCGGAGCTCACACAGTAATGCTCTGGCAGGGGGCGGAGCTCACACAGTAATGCTCTGGCAGGGGGTGGAGCTCACACAGTAATGCTCTGGCAGGGGGCGGAGCTCACACAGTAATGCTCACTGGCTGGCTGCTCACCTCCTACTGTGTGGCCTGGTTCCTAACAGGCCATGGACTGGAACAATCTGTGGCCTGGGGATTGGGGACCCCTGATTTAAAGAATCGAGGACACACTCACCTAGCAAACCATCTGCTAAGAAAAAAGGAGGAAAAGCACCAACATTAATTTGAACTTAGAAATAAACTACAAGGCCAGACATGGTGGTTCACACCTATAATTCCAGCACTTCGGGAGGCCAAGGAGGAACGATCACTTAAGCCCAGCAGTTTGAGACCAGCCTAGGCAACAAAGTGAGACCCTGTCCCTACAATTACAAAATAAATGAGCTGGGCGTGGTGGTGCACACCTGTAGCCCCAGCTACTTAGAAGGCTGAGTCGGGAAGATCACCTGAGCTGCCCAGGAGTTTGAGGCTGCAGTGAGCTGAGACTGCACCAACCCTGTCTCAAAAAAAAAAAAAAAAAAAAGAAACTGCAACAAAATATCTGGATTTTGATGTAACAGAATACAAAGATAATTACATTTGATTTTTAGGTCAACAAATATGACAAGTCATAACAGGAAAATATTTTAAATGGATTTGGAAATAAAAGAAAGTTTGTTCATTTATATTTTATTTAACAGCTGTGCCCAGTTTTATCTTGTCACAAGAATGAAGCAAGGGACAAAGGTAAGTGCCACGCTCCCCGGCCACTGGGTGCCAATCCCCCTTCAATGTACTCCTTCTTCCCCAGAGTGCAGAAGCGTATAAAGACAGTTATGACATTGACACATGCATGAGCTATTATACATAATTACAAAAGCTGATTCTGTCATCACCACATCTTGTCTCATCAGTAGGAGTGAATGGCTGGGGGGACAGTGGCACAGTCAGCCTCGTTCAAAGTTTTGTCAATTATGGGTCTATATTCCACAGTGACCTTGAAAAGAAGTCAGTGGTAAGTTAAGCACAAAAATGTACAAAAAGCCATCTCTTGTGTTCCTTTTGAAAAATTTTAACTATAAAAGTAGATTTACGGCATGTGAACTTTAAGGTATTTGCTGCAGTATTTTCCAATAACAAATTCAAAAATGATCTACATGCGCAACAGGGGACTGTAAATGACGGCAGATCGGTAGAGTGGAACAGAGCAACGAAAATGACACTGTACCAGATTCTCAGTGCTTTGCTTTACAAAAATGCTCCCATCATGAAAAGTGGGAGAACCCTTGTCTATACCAAGACACTTCATGTTTAAACTATCTACTTCCAGTTTTTCTACTTCAAAGTAAATATTTATATAGGTAGAACATCCCTAATCCAAACATCTGAAATTCTCCCAAATCTGAAACTTTCTGAGCACCAGCATGACATTCAAAAGAAATGTGCTATGGAGTCAGATCTTCCGATTAAGGATGCTCAGACAGTAAGTGTAATGCAAATATTCCAAAGTCTGAACAAGCCTGAAATCCAAAACACTTCTGGTCCCAAGGATTTCAGAGAAGGAATACTCAAGCCGTGTATTAAATATGCACACACAGGAAAAGGTAGGCACATATACAAAGAAATTTAAACCATAATGGGTCATCTCTGGTTAGTGAGCTCTTATTTCAATCTCTTTGTACTTTCTAAAATGAGTATGTATTTCTTCAAAAATCACTGAAACTGGCTGGGCGTGTTGGTTCATGCCTGTTGGGGAGGCCAAGACAGGTGGATCACTTGAGCTCAGGAGCTCAAGACTAGCCTGGGCAACGTGGCAAAACCCCGTCTCTACAAAACATACAAAAATTAGCCAGGCATGGTGGCATGTGCCCGGGAGGCTGAGGTGGGAGGATCACCTGAGCCGAGGGGAGGTTGAGGCTGCAGTGAGATGAGATCGAGCCACCACATTTCAGCCTGGGCAAAAGAGATGAGACTCTATCTCAGAACAACAAAAACAAAACAAAAAACCTGAACCCGGAAACATTAAAAATAGACTTGTGCTAAGCGAGTGAAGTGTGACCTCTCTATACTATCAGGAAATGGCCTTCATGATAAATTCTGAAAATGACCCACTGCCTGAATCACAGACACACTAGATGATAGTGAGAGTCCAAAGGTAACTTCCACAGACACAGCTAAGTGATTATACGACTCTCCCTTACAAGTTATGAAAAGCTTAAGGGTAAAAGCTTTCTATCTTCATGATTTCTGAATCTCAATGCCCAGTGGAAATGCCACACAGGTGAACTGTGCTTGTGTGGAACAAGCTGCAACCCCCTACCACACCCTCGGCTGGCTGTTCCCAAGACGCTGTGCTTGTGTGGAACAAGCTGCAACCCCCCTACCACACCCTCGGCTGGCTGTTCCCAGGACGCTGCTTACCCCAACCCTGCCTCCATTTCTGCCCTTCTCTGCTTGCTCAGTGCCCAGGGGATGCTAAGGGCTGCACCACATCCCCTCTGCTCCCCTGCAGATGCTTCCAGTTGGCCCAGCCCATGGGAAGAGAGGGGAGGGGTCTCTTCTGGGCTCCCTTGGCTCGGGACTGGTTTCTGGTAGTGGCTCTGTCCCCACCACACAGATGCTGACTTTCTCGCTAGGTCCACAATCATCATCTCCTCCCCTGCCACCAGGCCTTGGACACTTGCTCCTGCCCAGTGACTTCCATCTGGCCCACACCACAGAGCAACCCTTCCTTAAGGCTCCTCTGAACCACCTGCAGGCACTGGATTCTGTTTCCAGCCCGAAGCCCGACTGCTGTCAGAGTGCCTTTTTCAGCGGTGCCTCAAATCTGTCGGGAGTTGATTTAAATCTGGCCTGCTCCTCCGCGTTCACCATCAGCAAGGCCAGCCCGCAGACCTGGGCGGGGCCGTGTGGGTGCTGGGCTGTGGTGAGAACGAGCTCCACACTGACCTTCCCAGTGCCGACGTCCACATAGGACAGGGTGTGCTTCCTCCAGTGCACCTCAAAGGGCTTCTTCTGTTGCCCCTGGATGGGCTTGGAGTGATCATACTCATCAATCTGCACCTGAGGCCAGAAACACCATCACATTTCTCATTACTCTAACAGAGCAATACAGAAAAAACACAGCAAACATTAAAATGATCTAAGAGACAGATGCCCTAGAACCCATTCCATTTCCACTTCAGCCCAGGAGGTTGGCACCATCAACACGTTCAGAACCCACAGAGGCCACATGGCTGGCCAGCGATGTGCAGCCAGCAGTGAGTCCAGAGTAATCCATGTCCGCATGTTCCCTTAGACATCCTTTATGTACCTAAGAGTTTATCAAATACTTTGTCTTTTTGCTCCAAGCGCTGGGAGACTACCTCCATCTTTTCTTTCAGCCTGTTTTTATTAAAAACACTTTTTTTCTCTTTTGAGACAGGGTCTCGCTATGTCACCTGGGCTGGAGCGCAATGGTGTGATCACAGCTCGCCAGAGCCTTGACTTCCCGGGCTCAATCAATCATCCTGCCTCAGCCTCCTGAGCAGCTGGTACCTCAGGTGTGTACCACCACGCCTGGCTAATTTTTTAATTTTTGTAGAGACAGGTTTCGCCATGTTGCCCAGGCTGGTCTAGAACTCCGGGGCTCAAGTGATCTGCCTGCCTCAGCCTCCCAAATGCTGGGATTACAGGTGGGAGCCACTGCACCTGGCTTCTATTCTAATTAAAACTCGTTGTCACCAACTAAATTTATGCTCCTGGCCAGGCACAGTGGCTCATGCCTGTAATCCTAGCACTTTGGAAGGCCAAGGTGGGTGGTTCACTTGAGGTCGGGAGTTCGAGACTAGCCTGGCCAACATGGTGAAACCCCGTCTTTACTGAAAATACAAAATTAGCCGGGCACGGTGGCATGCGCCTGTAACCCCAGCTGCTTGGGAGGCTGAGGCAGGAGAATCACTTGAACCTGGGAGGCAGAGGTTGCAGTGAGCTGAGATCGCGCCGCTGCACTCCAGCCTGGGGGACAATGAGACTCCATCTCAAAAAATTAAAAATAATAAATTTATTATTATTCTGTATTCTGGCAAACACGGATTCATATACTTTGCAGGAAAGACTCTTAATATGTATGAGGAGACGAGCAAATTCTGAGCAGTGATCACAGCCATCAGCATATTCTAGTGGAGGGTAAATCAGTAAAATTTCATGGTGAATAAAAATGATTTTCCCATTCACTGTGTTCAGCTGACTGGAAAGGCTGCCACCAGCCGCCCACACATGGCCCTGAACCAGCCTGTGCGCCTGCCTTGTGGAGCCTTTGTCCTTTTGCCGATGTGGTTTATCCTGAACTTGCATTTGCACCCCAAGCTTCCCTTTCCGTCGTTTTTTGCTATCATATGTGAAAAACTCTTACCAGGCAGAATCCAACACGTGTGCTCTGCACAAAAATCAGTTCATCTGAAGAACAAGTGACCACAGGGCAGTCTCCGTAATCAAACCACAGGACAGGCTCTATAATACCTTTTCCAAACCACAGGACAGGTTGGAAACAGTGGCTTACTCGTTATTTAGTAAACTGGCATTTCCTCCACAAGGCAGGTCTGAAACGGTGACTTACTTGTTATTTAATAAACTGGCATTTCCTCCACAGGGCAGGCTTGAAACGGTGGCTTACTCGTTATTTAATAAACTGGCATTTCCTCCACAGGGCAGGCTTGAAACGGTGGCTTACTCGTTATTTAATAAACTGGCATTTCCTCCACAGGGCAGGCTTGAAACGGTGGCTTACTCGTTATTTAATAAACTGGCATTTCCTCCATAGGGCAGGCTTGAAACGGTGGCTTACTCGTTATTTAATAAACTGGCATTTATTTCCTGGTCATGCCACGCTGGCTGCACTTCTAACCTTGGCCTTCTAACAGCAAAGCACATTGGCTTGGAGAT
This sequence comes from Homo sapiens, assembly GCF_000001405.40. NCBI lineage: Eukaryota > Metazoa > Chordata > Mammalia > Primates > Hominidae > Homo > Homo sapiens. The sequence continues at coordinate 113,220 of NT_187691.1, forward strand.
GCCACTGCTGGCATCAGTGGATGCCGACCCAAAGCAAGGAACAGGTCACAGTGATCCAGAAAATGGCGAGAACCCAGGGATCAAAGTTACCAGAGGGAAAAAGGCATTTTTTGGATATACTTTTGGGGAAACGACATAAAATGCAGAGAAAATGCAGGGGTGGGGCTGAGTCCCACCAGGCGGGAGGAAAAGGCAGGTGCAGGTGGGCGTGGCGAGAAGGCGCACCTTGTAGTCTTCCCCGGCGTGCGCGCCCCGTGACTCCTTCCCCGCCTCTGCTCCATTGACGGTCTGCAGCGCACATAGCATCAGGTTCTGCAGCTCCAGGGTCTCCACCAGGTCCGTGTTCCAGACCATTCCTGGGGACACAAAAAGTTCCATCAGGGGCAGGTGGGACCCAGTCACACGGGCCCTCCGAGCTGTCAGCCTGGGCCTGCTAGTCCATGGAGTCACTGGTTGTGGCTTTACAGCTGGGGGCCAGCACCCATCCAGACAGCAAGCATGGAACTAAGTCAGCACTGACGGGACAGACACCAGCCCACCCTGCAGAAGGCAGGGCCCAACAGTGTGCACAGAGCCCACTGTCTGCTCACCCCGGTCAAACGTCTTCAGATGCTTCAGGTCTCCATAGAGCTTGCTGATTTTCCCACAACCTTCTTGCAACAAGCTTCCCACACGGAACACGGCAGCATGATTTTGCGTTGACTGTGGCACAAAATATTATTTGTAAACTTTTAATTCATAGAAGCAGCCATACCAAGAACTGCTTAACTTTTAGACCTGTTGTTTTGCATTTCATTTTATTTATGTAAATTAAACAGAAAAATTAGGAAATTTAGACTATGAGTTTATTACTCTGAACTTAAAAATGAAGTCTTGACTAAAGCTTCTGAATAAATGTTTCTATTATATACATATCTTAGACCCACACACATCCTTTCCAGCGGGATACAGCCAGGGTCCAGGACGCCAAGCAGACTGCCTGTGAGGCACCACGTTCCATACGGCTCCACGGCCAACCAGGCAGCACTGCCTCCCCACACCCCTGGCGGGACTCCTGATGTGGGGTCTGGTGGTGAACGTGACACGAGCCAGCAGCCCTGTGGTGATACACACAAGGAGGAACTGAGCAGAGCCCTGCTGATGGTGGGGTTGGAACCGAAGGTCTTCAAGGAGAGGGAGGGGCGTGGGTGGCTGGGGCCCTTGGCCCATCTGGCTACTGTCTTCTGCCTATTTTGTAGAAGCTCCTTGTACACTGAGTTCCTTCATAGTTTTACTATCACGAGAAACGTGCTAGGAGTGGACCTGAAGTTTACTTAGGTATGCTGGGAACTGGGCATCAGCTTTTGCTTCCTGTGGGACACACAGGCACCACCTCCGTGATCCCTCCTCCTCCTTGCTTCTCCCTCTAACTGTGCTTTGCTCCACTGACCCTAATTGTCTCTTCCTCTACCAATGCACCTTCGTGGTTCAATTTGGACATTTCATCTGATTTTCCTTAGACTCATACATAATCGTAACACTGTAATGCACATCAACCTAATGGTTTTTCAGGAAGAACAAATGAAAAAAATTGCATCTCAGAATCTAGTATTACATTCTTTCATGTCCTTTAGCAGCGACGTTTTCATATCATCTTTTCGTATTTCTGGTTACATTATTTCAAGGCATTTTAAATTTTTTGTTTGAAATGCGAATGAGATATTTACTGATGTCTGAGCAGATTACTGCTGGCACATTGCAAAGCTACTGATTTTTACATACAAATCTCTTATACACATACCTTACTACATTCTTGTTTTGTTTCTGTTAGTTTTTCCGTTTATTCTCTGGAAATTTTTTGGAAATTATATCTGTAAATAATGGCAACTGTATCTATTCCTTTTCAATATTTACTGCCAAGACCAGCTGGGTCATGGAAACCCTAACCCAGTGGCACTAGAGGAAGTAAAGACACACACACAGAAATATAGAGTGTGGAGTGGGAAATCAGGGGTCTCACAGCCTTCAGAGCCAAAAGCCTCAAACAGAGATTTACCCACGTATTTATTGACAGCAAGCCAGTGATAAGACTTACTGAAAGTATTCCTTACAGGAAATAAAGGGATGGGTCTGGCTAGTTATCTGCAGCAGGAGCATGTCCTTAAGGCACAGAGCGCTCATGCTATTGTTTGTGGTTTAAGAAGGTCTTAAGAGGTTTTCCACTCTGGGTGGGCCAGGTGTTCCTTGCCCTCATTACGGTAAACCCATAACCTTCCTGCGTGGTCGTCCTGGCCATCACGAGCACGTCACATGCTGCAGAGATTTTGTTTATGGCCAGTTTTGGGGCCAGTTTATGGCCACATTTGGGGGCCTGTTTCTATCAATTTACCTCATTTCTTTTTTTGATTGTTACTATTAATAGCCAGAGTCAGCAGAAAAATCCCTTCCCCCAACGAAATGCATTTCCGCAAGCATAGGAAGCTCTGTTTGTTCAGTGCTGACTCCGGCACCTCACGGAGCCTGGGATACAGCAGGCACCAAGACACACCTTGTTTGGTGGGAACACTTCTAGTATTCTCACTTCAAACTATCTCAGATTTGCCATTTCTATATCCTAAGGCATGTTCCCATTCTCTAACGCAAGGGTTCCTTCTTTCCCAGCTGGCCTCCAACCCTACAAAAGCACTGCAGGGCATCACTCAGCCTTCTGTGCCTTAGTCACGCTGTTCTTCTCACCGTTCCACAAAACCTCCCTCAAGCCCAGCCTCACCTGAAGACCGAAGGGCACGGGCCTCTGAAAATTGTCAGCAGGGAACCTGTTCTCTTGTGTCTAACACCAAATGCCTTTCAGAATAGGACTAAAGCAGTGGACTTCTTTCTAGAAAATACGCAGAAATTCTTGCAAATAGCAGACAAGAGATCTCATTCATGGACAAGAATCCTTGTTATTAGAGGAATTGAGTTTCTTAGACTGACTATATATCAGGTTCTCCACGGCCCCATGGCTAATGGCTGCCATACTGGACGGCAAACACTCAACATTTCCATCATCACAGACGGTCCTACTGGACCGACTCCCAGCAGCACAGGCCGCACAGATCACTGTCCACCTGCCGCCCACTCTCCCTCTCTGCTGAGTATATTTAGGGGCAGCAACAGGTCTAGCTTAAAGACGTTTCCGAGCTGCTGGAAGCCAGGCATGATGACATGATCAATATCTGGGCCTGAGATGTAAGCACCAGTGTTGTGTTGAACTCCAGGAAACCTCTAAGAGAAAGCTGCCCTGCTGGGGACGGAGCTTCTCCGGCAGTCCTGCGGCTCCCTCTCCTCCACACTGTGACTCATCCATGACAGCCAGCGACGGTCAGGGCACGGAGGTCATGCCCAAGCACACACGAGTGAACCACAGAAGGCTGTCCTGGATGCTAAGCAGTCACTAATTCTGCCCTGGCCTGCTGACCTTCTATGTGGAGAAGAAGTGCACTTCTGGTCTCTTTCATATTCTTGATACAGTGAGGAGTATGTCCTACTGCTGTTTACCTCCACATACTGGTGCAGCCTCGTATGTTTATTGCAGCACTAGTCACAATAGCAAAGTCATGGAATCAACCTAAGTGCCCATCAACGGACGACCGGATAAAGAAAATGTGGTACATATATACCATGAAATACTACTTGGCCATAAAAAAAGAATGCAATCATGTCTTCTGCAGCCAGACGGATGGAATGGGAGGTCACTATCCTAAGTGAGTCAGAAGGTCAAGTGTCACACATTCTCCCTTGGAAGTGGGAGCTGAACGGTGAGTACACATGGACACACGGAGTGGACTAACAGACTGTGGGCTCCAAAAAGCGGGAGGGGTGGGGATGAGCAATTACCTGCTGAGTACAACACACACGACTTGGGTGACAGGTACATGAAAAGCCCAGACTCCACCACCTCCCAGTACATCCACACAAAGCTGCACCTGCATCCCCCTAGATCTGTTTTTAAAAAAACAAAACCAGTGCAGGGCCAGGTATGCAGCCAGCCTGCTCACTCCAGAGCGAGTCCAGGCTCTTACCTTCTGCATGCTGAGTCGCAGTTCCGATGTTCTTATGCTTCTTCCATCAGCAAATCTCAATTTGTCAAGATTCGTGACAGATTCTTCCCCAGCATTTGGTTTAATTGGAGGGACTTTATCTCCTAAAACAACAACAAAAAGAGCTAGAATTTAACTTTTGAAAACCGTTTTAAAAAAACAAATGGATTTAGTACTACACACAAAAATGTAGCATAGCCGCTCAAGGAGCCTGGAAACGGTGTAAGTCTCCTGAGCTAACACACTGCCAACCCACCCTACATCTGAGGCCATCTGTTGAGTTGGGGCCAATTTTAAAGAACAGACATAAAAGGCAAAACTGTTGGCACACAGTAGATATCCATTAAGTGATCTTAGAGTGAATAAACTAGAAATCATCTCTAAAATTAAAAAATTAAAATGTAGGCCAGGTGCAGTGGCTCACGCCTGTAATCCCAGCACTTTAGGAGGCTGAGGTAGGTGAAGCACTTGAGGTCAGGAGTTCAAGAGCAGCCTGGCCAACGTGGCAAAACCTCATTTCTACTAAAAACACAAAAATTATCTGGCATGAGAACTGCTTTAACCCGAAAGGTGGAGGTTGCAGTGAGCCGAGATCGCGCCACTGCACTCCAGCCTGGGCAACAGAGCGAGACCCTGTCTTACAAAAAAAAAAAATTAAATGTATACAGATTTATATACATTAAGTGTATATAAATGTCACTCCACTAACGGGAAAAAATGACACCTTCCAGATGGTGGTCCCAAGGGGCCGGCCGCCCCACTGTCCTTCACATTAGGGGGAGGAAGGTGGCTGCTGTGTGCTTGCAAGTCACCTGCTGATTTGGACTGTTGTGTGCTCTCACCTATACTTCAAGATTTGCAATTTTTTTTTTTTTTTTTTGAGATGGAATTTTGCTCTGTAGCCCAGGCTGGAGTGCAGTGGCACCATCTCGGCTCACTGCAACCTCCACCTCCTGGTTCAAGCAATCCTCCTGCCTCAGACTCTGGAGTAGATGGGACTACAGGAGTTTGCAACCATACCTGGCTAATTTTTGTATTTTCAGTAGAGATGGGGTTTCACCATGTTGGCCAGGCTGGTCTCGAACTCCTGACCTCAGGTGAGCCACCTGCCTCAGCCTCCCAAAGTGCTGGGATCACATGTGTGAGCTGCTGCGCACGGCCAAGATTTGCAACTCTTGTGTTTCCAAGATGTCTTGAAAAAAGTTTTAAAGGTTTTTTTTTTTTATAAAATTATATGTATTTTTTCTTCAATAGGTAACACATGCAGGAGATAGGAGGTATGAAATGCAGGAGTCAAACAGGCCCTGTCCCGCCTACCGCCTCTCCTCGGGACCAGGCTGTGGGTCTCTTGACGGTCTGCTCAAATGCTTCTAGGCTTGCTGGTGTCTCTTTTCCTTTTGTTTATAACGCTTTAAAAATTGATCATCCATTAAAATTGACTTTTTTCTTTCGGTGGACAGTTCTACAGTTTCTTTTTTCTTTTTTTTTTTTGAGACAGTGTCTCCTCCCTCTGTTGCCCAGGCTGGAGTGCAGTGGTGTGATCTCGGCTCACAGCAACCTCCGCCTTCTAGGCTCCAACAATCCTCCCACCTCAGCCTCCCAAGTAGCTGGGACTACCCAAGTGTGAGCCACCATGCCCAGCTAATTTTTGTATTTCTGGTAGAGACGGGGTTTCACCACCTTGCCCAAGCTGGTCTCGAACTCCTGAGCTCAAGCAATCGGCCTGCCTTGGCCTCCCAAAGTGGTGGGATTATAGGTGTGAGCCACTGCACCCGGCCTCAGTTCTACCGATTTTAACACATGGATAGATGCATGTAACCACTTTGGGAGGCTGAGACAGGAGGATCACTTGAGGTCAGGAGTTCAAGACCACCCTGGGCAACACAGGGAGACCCTGTCCCTAGAATACATTTTTAAAAATTAGCCAGATGTGGTGGCGTGCACCTGATCGTACCACTGCACTCAAGCCTGGGTGACAGAGGGAGACTATGTCTAAAAATACACATATATATATTTTTGGGGGGGTCGGGGGTTGGGGGAGAAGTAGGGATGCTACAAGCATTTTTTCTTTCCTTTTCATTTTTAAAAATTAAAGCGTAAAGATACAGTAAAATAAACTCATCATTTTTAATGTAGGTTTTTCAAACTTTGACACACACAGAGCTGTGTCTGTAAGCCTCAGCACAATCAGGAAACAGCCTCTGGCAACCACCAATCCCTTTTCTTCCCTAGATGTGCCTTGTCCAGAATGTCCTATCAACAGGACCACAGGCGTGCAGCCTTTTGAGTCCGACTCCACAGCATTCTGCGTGAGATGCTGCATGTGTGAGCGGTTTCTCAGATGTCAAGTATAGGGTATTCTCACAAAATGTTCTTTTCTGCATTTTCAAAGAAAGAGAAGCTCAAAATTTCTACACTGCTCTGAGAGAAGTGGTATCAGACCTCACTGCGACAAAGTGCAGGGCTATGGAGTGAGACAAGCACAACCTGTGGCGTCAGGAGCGAGGCACCTGAACTCCGCCTTCGCCGATGATCAGCAACGGCTGGGGATGAGACGCCGGCTCTGCATGTGCTGGCCTCCTGAGCTGTCGTCAGATCCACAGAGACACAGTGTCTGAAGTAGCTACCCTTTTAATACTGCCTGTACCTTTCTAACTACAGATAGAAAAGGGTCATGTTTATAAGGTACGGCGGTGCTAGTTTTTATTTCACTTGAGTCCATACAAAAAGCAAAAAGCGCCTGTTCTATAAAAACAGCAGAAATGATGCTAAACAGTTAACACCAGAGAAAGCTAACGGGAAGAACGTGGGCCTGGGGTCCCACCATCCTTGCCACGCAAACATCCACCAGTGCCTCATCCACCTCACACTGTTCTGAGCACACGAGGCTGCATGACCACCGTGAGGATCTCTGGAGGTGGGAACGATGCTAACTGTCCTGTTCTTCGTGCACATAAGACTCACACTCCCACACACGGTATTCCTTTTCCTGCACATTATTTGACGCTATCCTGAAAAGAAAACCAGCAAGTGAAATCGAATCTGTCCGTAGAGGGTGGGAATCCTGTTCACTCTAAGTCAGCCCTTCTCCTCTAATAGAGGTTAGTTGTACTTTTAGAATGGCCTAAATTATTTTTCTAAGTACCAAGAAGTTACATATTCATTCATGCCAACTATTTTAAATATTTCATTGCAAATAAGTGATTTTTATCAGGCAAGTAATACGTAATGAACTTCCCCTAAAAATAACAGCTTCCTAATAGTGCTTTTTCTAAACAGAAAATAATGACTGCAAAATAATTTAAAAAAAAAAAATGTAACCCCAAAAATGTCACCTTAACTGTTAAGATCCCCAACCAGCCTCTATCTAGTCTCAACATTACCACCATATAATCTCTGGATTTCTCAGTTTAATCACTTCTAGGGGAAAAAACCCAGACTACCTCTATATGCTCACTACGCAAATTTCCAGTAAGAAATCAAGGCTTTGTAACCTGGCTGGGTGCAGTGGCTCATGCCTGTAATCCCAATACTTTGGAAAGCTGAGGCAGAAGACTGTTTGAGTCTAGGAGTTCAAGACCAGCCTGGGCAATATTGTGAGACCCTGTCTCTACCAAAAAAAATTTTTTTAAATTAGCCAGGTGTGGTGGTGCACATCTGTAGTCCCAGCTACTTGGGACTCTGAAGGTTGAGGTGTTGAGGACTGCTTGAGCTCGGGAGGTTGAGGCTGCTATGACTGTGCCACTGCACTCCAGCCTGGGCTGACCCTGTCTCAAAAAAAAAGAAAAAAGACTAACCTCCTGCGCCTTCTCAAATAGTCTGGGTCCTGAAGAAAACACTTACCAGGCCTGCACGACTCTGCGATGCTCAGGGCACATGCCTGACCAGACAACCAGGTCCAACAGCGAGTTTGCCCCGAGGCGGTTGACACCATGTGCAGAGGCACAGGCGGCCTCCCCACAGGCGTACAGGCTGGGCACAATCTGATCCTGGCCATTCCCGTGCCTCAGGACCTGTGGAAAGGAAGATTTCAGGTGAAATGTCAAGATGCCCATTCCTCCACAAGCCCACCTCCCTCAACAGGGTGTCTGTGCTGCAGGTCAGAGAAAGAGAGGGAAGTAGGTCGGGCATGCAGTGGCTCACGCTTGTAATCCCAGCACTTTGGGAGGCTGAGGCGGGTGGATCACCTGAGTTCAGGGGTTCGAGACCTGTCTGGCTAACATGGTGAAACCCCGTCTCAACTAAAAATATAAAAATTAGCCAGGCATGATGGCAGGTGCCTGTAATCCCAGCTACTCGGGAGGCTGAGGCAGAAGAATCGCTTGAACCTGGGAGGCGGAGGTTGCAGTGAGCCGAGATCGCGCCATTGCACTCCAGCCTAAGCGACAGAGCGAGTCTCCATCTCCAAGAAACAAAGAGAGGGAAGTAAAGACCATATCTAAGAAGGAAGTAAGGACCATAGCTACTCTTCTTCAGAAGGAAACTTCCGAATGTATACCCCAGTTTCCCCTCTGCCCCTGAGCACCTGCTGTTACAAGCAGGTCAGAGGGCCTCCAATGTCAGCATCTGCGACTGTCCCCCGTGTCCCATGTTCCCGAGGCCCTCACCACCTGTGCTCCAGCTCAGACCCAGGAGCACGGCAGGTGGAGGAACATCAGCAGGGGAGACTGATGTTCCAGACTCTTCTACCCCCTGTTCACCTCTTCATCTATGCGGGGAAAGTAACAGCTTCCACCCACCTCGCCCAACAAGGAGGCTAAGTGACTGACAAGCTCTGTGTGAACCGCAAACCACTCACAGGTATGAATTATAAAGATCCTTCGATGTACAAGATCATTAGAAATAGGAATTATAAAGATCCCTTGATGTATAAGCTCATTAGAAATAACACAAGATCATATAGGAAAGTAATTATAAAATGGGAAAAGCTGCAAATGATGTATCTATGACAGTTTACTAAGGAGGAATAAATTATTAAGCCTCCTTCCATCCTCCAGTGATAGAAATTTCAAGTGCAATTTAGCAAACAATACAGTACTTTCTGGAAGGAAACATCTGTCTCTTCCTCTAAGATCTAAAGAGACAACTGCGAGATGGGCCCCATTGTCCCAGCCTTCTTTCCAGCTGTGGGAGAGAAGCCAGCACCATCACCTGCCCCTCGTAGCTGGTGGGAATGCCGTCCATGTTATAATGCACGGTGGGGAGGACAGGGATCGGCTCCTTCGTGACGTCCACACCAGCGAAGATCATGGCTGTCTCTGAAATGCCGGGCAAGGGCATGGCCAGCTGCTCTGGAGGTAGGTGGTGCAGCTGCAGGTAGACGTGATCTTTCTCAGGGCCACAGCCTCTGGTAAGACAGAACACCATCACATAAGGCAGAGAATGGCAACGGCAGCAGACCTGAGAATACGTCATCTTGGAAGCGTGTGAGTTTCAACATGTTTTGATACTGAGGAAAATTTCCCCTCATGTACGGCCACCCTCTCATCAAATCTTTTCTAAGCATCTACTGTATGCCAGGGACAATCCCAGGTGCTGGGACACAGCTGAGAACCAGAACAAAAACTCTGCCCTTACTGAACTCACACTCGTCTCAGGGATCACAGCCTGCAGCGGCTGTCCTTGGTAAAAGCATTAGGCCTCTATGCCAAATAGTCGTCCCTGCGTATCCGTGGCAGGTTGGGTCCAGGACCCCCACGGACACCAAAATCCGTGGATGCTCAAGTCCCTAATATAAAATGGCAGAGTATTTGCATATAACCTATGCACATCCTCCTCCATATTTTAAATCATCCTCATTTCAAGTTTTACATTTAAGTTGTACAGCAACTCCAGGATTACTCATAGTACCTAATACAATGTAAATGCTAGGTAAATAGCTGCTACACTGTGTTGCTTAGCGAACAATGACAAGGAAAAAAAAAAGTCTGCGTGTTTGTAAGGATGCAATTTTATTTTCAGTACATAGTTGGTTGAAACCACACATGTGGAACCGATGGATACGGAGGGCCACCATATTACAAGAAACCATCCGACTTCTTTTTTTTTTAATATAAAAATGTAAAACCTCTAAAGGCCACACCAGATACCAGCAGATATTTAGCAAGTGTTATCACATTAAAGAACAGGGTCAGGCAATGAAAGAGCTGCAAACTGTTCTTCTGAAAGGCAAATGACCCACACACTTTGAAAGCTGCCGAAAAACATCTGTGGGTATCAGACACCACACCCAAGGCTCACACGCCGACTTCAGGTTGGGTGCGTGTCTCTCTCTCCCATACTCCGTCACATACTCACACACACTAAGAGAAACTCTGTTCCACAGATTTGAGAAAGAAACTGGCTAAAATTTTCAAAATGTAGGTCTTTAGGAAAATATCGCAGACTAACAGACGCCTGCCGGCAGCTGAGAGAGGTGGCTGTGCACATGTGCCTGCACACGAAGGTGAGGGCGAGCGGTGCTGAAACTCACAGAAGCAACCCCGGCCCGTGTGCCCGCTCAGACAGTGCTGGTGGTAAACCACACGCACCTTCCTTCGCGGATCTCCAGAGTCATCCACCGAGACACCACATCTCTAGACGCCAGGTCCTTCGCGATGGGGGCGTATCGCTCCATAAACCTTTCGCCTTGACTGTTAATGAGAATGCCTCCCTCTCCACGACATCCTTCCGTAATGAGACAACCAGCACCATATGTGCCTGCAAAAAACCACACATTTATAACCTAACAATTGCTAGGTCTCTATTTCAAATGCATTACTTTTTTTTACAAGATATTTTTTGGGGGAGAGACAAAAAAGATATGCAGAAGGCATTATATGCAAAACTGAACAGAAAGAACAGTTAAGATACAGTAGAAAGTCTGGATAACAAAAAGCACTGACAAGGCTGACAGCTGCAGCAGAGGCTGGGGCAGAGTGGCGTCCCCAGAGAGGAGAAAGGCCGGCCCACAGACCTCTGGCCAATACTCTGATTACAGCCCGGTGTACGTTGGATGCCTCAAATTTTGTTTTAATTTTTGAACATTCTTTTGCACTATGATACTGTGGTGACTAGTTAAGAATACTAGCTTGGAGAATTCATATCTAAGTTACCCAAACAGTGGCAAGAACAGTAATAATGATTATTTTAGTTCATCTTTACACTGCACTTGCTATGGGCAGTTCTAGCTGCTTTCCACATATTAAACTCATTTAAGTCTTACAACAACTCTGGGTAGTATGACCCCCTTTCTCAGTGACAAGCAAATTAACGCTTGGTAACATCCAGTCATGCAGCTGAGGACAGAGCTCAAACCCAAACCTGGGCAGTCCGGCGGTCTGTGCCCCAAACAGCGGCTCTGTGACTCCTCAGTGCGATGAGAAACAGGGCGTGCCAAGCTCTCGAATTTTAACAAAGGAGATCAAAAACCCTAAACTAAATGTATTTCAAAAGCTACAATTTTTATTAGTATACAAAAAGGGCAATCTTGCTTTCAAGACAAGAATGTGATTCTTGCATCTCACCTGCCTTTTGATTTTCTAAGTTTCCATGCTCTTTTTTCTGTGGTTACTTCTCACATATTGAAGACAAAGCATGAGAAGTGGAGCTCTAAGCAAATTACAGAGGGAATTCAGGGGCTCACTGACATTTTGCTGATTAAAAACAGTAATAAAAAATACAACAGGCCGGGTGCAGTGGCTCATGGCTATAATGCCAGCACCCTGAGGGGCCGAGGCAGGAGGATCGCCTAAGCCCTGGCGTTTGAGACCAGCCTGGGCTTAAAATGGTGACACCCTGTCTCTACCAAAAACAAAAAAACCCTCAAAAATTAGCTGGGCATGGTAACACATGCCTGTAGTCCCAGCTATTTGGGAGGCTGAGGTGCAAGGATCGTTTGAGCCTGGGAGACAAAGGCTGCAGTGAGTCAAGATTGCTCCACTGCACTCCAGCCTGGGCAACAGAGCAAGACCCCATCTCTAAACAAATTAAAAAAAAAACCTACAACAAATCCATTTCTTATTTTCATCCCTTCCAGGGATCAGAAAGCTGACACTGACAGAGAAAGAGAAGACACAGGTCTGGTTCTTTGGCACCACTTCAGGGGTCTCCATCGTCCACAGGTCAGAAAAGCAACCCAGAAAAGTCCAGGACGAGTCACCTCAAACAAGAGGCAGACGTGTGTGTGTCTGTCTCTGACTCATTTTGAAGAACCTCCTCCAAACTCAAGACTTCAACTGTCATTTCTGAGTTAATGTCTCCAAATTGCACATTCGTAACCTCAACCGTCAGACGTCCCCAAGACGAGCTCATCTTCCCCACGACAAGCTCCCTCAGTGGTCACGTGGGCTGAGCCCAGCGCCCAACGTCACATGGGGTTCTCTCATGGCTGTGTCTTAACTTTACATCCCATTGTCACGGAAGCTCTGTGTTGTCCTACAAAGCTGAAATCTGCCTGTGCTGCTTCTTGGTTCCACGGCATTCACCCAGCTCTCAGAATGCTCACTCAGTAAACCCCGATGGAGACCCTACCATGTGCTGGGCGTGGAGCACCCCAGTTAATGAGAAGACCTGCCTGCCCGAGTTGCTGACAACCTCACTGCAAAGAGGGACACTGAACAATTCCTGCTTTACTTTTTTTTTTTTTTTTTTTGAGACGAAGTCTTACTCTGTTGCCCAGGCTGGAGCGCAGTGGTGCGATCTCGGCTCACTGCAACCTCTGCCTCCCAGGTTCAAGCATTCCTCCCGCCTCAGCCTCCCAAGTAGCTGGGATCACAGGTGCATGCCACCATGCCCAGCTGATTTTTTTATGTTTAGTAGAGATGAGGTTTCACCATGTTGTGCAGGCTGGTCTTGAACTCCTGACCTCAGGTGATCCACCTGCCTTGGCCTCCCAAAGTGCTGGGATTACAGGTGTGAGCCACCATGCCCGGCCTCAATCCCTGCTTTACTGCTGGCATAAGTATCACCAAGGCAGGGTTTAGGGCTCTTGAGAAATGCATAAGATGGTGGCCCAAACTGCCTTAGGGGAAGGGGAGTGTGGGAAAAGTCTCCTTAAGGAAATGACATTGAAGTTAGGACCTGAGAGCTATGGAAGCTGATCTTCAAAACCATGTTATTACATAAAACTATGGAAGAGCAATGAGTAGGCACCACACGCTTACAAGACACACGAGCCGAACGCCTTCCGGGCAAGGCGTCCTGCCCTACCTGTGGGGTGGAACTGAACAAACTCGAGGTCCTGGCAAGGAAGGCCTGCCCTGGTGATCATGGCCGTGCCGTCGCTGGTGCTGGTGTGGGCAGACGTGCAGCTCAAGTAGGTGCGCCCGTAGCCTATGGAAACAACAGAGAGCAGTGACTGCACACAGTGGCCCACGTCCGGACCTCCTGTCTAATGAGATCACAGAACGGACAGGGCAGCCCCCGGGCACCATCTTCTCAGTGCTGTGTGCACACAACCCCCTACTCACGCACACCCCACACACATCACTGGGGGCCACGCCAGTGGTGCTGCTACCCTGCGCAGGTAGGATAGAAGCCTGGGATCAGAGAAGAGACTTCCATTTATATTTTATTTATTTATTTATTTATTTTGAGATAGGGTCTAACTCTTGTCGCCCAGGCTGGAGTACGGTGGCACAATCTCGGCTCACGGCAACCTCTGGCTCCCAAGTTCAAGTGATTCTTCTGCCTCAGCCTCCCAAGTACCTGGGAATACAGGTGTGCACCACCACATCCAATTGATTTTTGTATTTTTAGTAGAGACTGGGTTTCGCCACGTTGGCCACGCTGGTCTTGAACTCCTGACCTCAGGTGATCCACCCACTTCGGCCTCCCAAAGTGCTGGGATTACAGGCATGAGCCACTATGCGTCTGGCCCTATTTGTATTTTAGATTTGTGCTGTTCAAAAGGTTTCCCCAGTAAGCATATACTACTTTTATAATGAAAATTTTAAAATTTTTATGGATTTTGTTTTTTTCCCCCAGATTTACTGAGGTATGATTGATGAATTAAACAAAAAACAATACTGTATATATTTAAGGTGTACAGCGTGATGATTTATTTTGTGAACTGATGACACAATCAACTTAATACACATCTATCACCTCATACAATTATCCTTTTTTTTGGAGATACAGACACCTAAGGTCTACTCTCTTCGCAAATTTCAAGTTATATTAATGATAGCCACCGTACTGTATGATTTTAACTGTAGCCACCATGCTGTATAATGTTAACTCTGGCCACCATGCTCTATAACATTAACTCTAGCCACCATGCTGTTTATCAGACCTTCAGAACTTCACCTTGTGACGGGAAGTTACACCTTTAATCAGCATCGCCACAGTCTGCATTCCCCCAGCCCCTGGCAACCACTGTCCTATTCTGTTTCTGTGAGTTGTGACAGTTTTAGATCCACATATGAGTGACATGCAGTATCTGTCTTTCTGTGCCTGGGTCGTTTCACTTAACATAATGACTTTGGGTTCATCCACGTTGTCACACATGACAGGATTTCCTTCGTTTTCATAGCTGAATAATATTCAGTTGTGTACACACACCACATTGTCATTAAACACCAAAAATTTTTAGGTTGTTTCCATATCTCGGGTATTGTGAATAACGCTGCAATGAACATGGGGGTCCAGGTGTCTCTTTGAGCTTCTGATTTCATGCCCTTTGGATATACACCCAGAAATGAGGTTGCTGGAGCACATGGTAGTCCTGTGACTTTTGAGGAACCTCCAGAGTTTTCCACAATAGTTGTACTAATTTACATTCCCACCAACAGCACACAGGGTTCCCTTTTCTCCACATCCTCATCAACACTCACTATCTTTTGTCCTCTTGGTAACAGCCATTCTAACTGGAGCGAGATGAGATGATACTCATTGGGGTTTTAATTTGCATTTCTCTGGTGCTTGGTGATGTTGAGCATTTTTTCATACATCAACTGGCCATTTGTATGTCTTCTCTGGAAAAATATCTATTCAAGTCCTTTGCCCATTTTTAGTAGGGTTGTTTTTTAGTAGGGTTTAGTAGGTTGGTTTTAGTAGGGCTTTTTTTTATTTTTTATTTTTTTTTGCTATTTTAGATACTAAGATATCATTAGATATATGGTTTGGAAAATATTTTTTCCCACCCTGTAGTTTTGCTGATTTTTTTTCTTGGCTGTACTGACACTTCTTAACTTTTAAAGTGGCTAAAGTAACTGCCACTGTATAAAATTAAAGTTTTTTATTTTCATTATGTGGAGAAGACAGACTTATCTATCCCAGGAATCAGTATAAACATAGAACCCACTAAAACAAGAGGGATTTTGCCAGAAAACCCCATGTGACTCTTCGGGCCACAGTTTCCTCATCTAAAATCGGGAGAGGTACGCTGTGAACCTGACGGCAGCCACTACCGACTAATGAGGGCCATGCTTTCTCACCCCGAGGCAGGTGCTGCTGTCCTCACCCTTTACAGGTGAGGAACCATGGCTGGGAAAGGCCATCACCCTCACGTGGTTATATCAAGGCCTGTGTCTGAACTGCTATTCTACAATGCCTCTATTTTCCTTAAAATAAAGAGACTCTAAATGAAATTTATTCATTTTTACAAAGGAAATAAAGTAGAAATTAGATTCCTACCCTGTGGCAACAATAGTATTCTTTGCTCTTATGCGATGGATGGACCCGTCCTGTATGCACAGTGCGAAGACACCACGGCACTCCCCATTCTCCATCAGGAGATCCAAGGCAAAATACTCCACAAAACAGCTGGTATCATATCGCAGAGACTAAAAGAAAGAAAAAAAAAGGGCAAGAAGTGTTAAGCCAACCTTTAAGGTTTTAAGGTGATATCTGCTCATGTGAATAGGTGAAAGAACTTGATCCAAATGGACCAGGTAAATCCAAGGAGATCAGCAACAGTGTCAATGACACTGTCAGAGCCCGAGAGGCATTCCACGCCCAGCAGTACCAACAAGGCAGGTGTGCTAGAGAACGCAGCAGCAACAGCTCCTATGTTGGTGACACATTTCCTACTTCTACACAACCCGAAGAGGCACTCCACACTGTCCGGTGGCCGCATGCAGCTCCACTCGGAGTCTGGTGCCAGAGTGAGATCCGCAGACCATGGGGTCACAGCCCAGATGGGAGCTACTGGCAACACATAACCACTTAATTAATTAAAATAAGTCAAAACGTTCAGCTCTTCAGCTACACCTGCCACATTAGCAACAGCCCCATGTGGCTGGCAGCTACCAAAGCGGACGGTTGCAGACGAGCAGATTCCGGCACCGCAGAAAGGTAGGCGCCGGACAGCGCTGCCCGCCTGGACCTGCCGTTCCCTCAGCCAGCGCAAGTCGCTCTCGTGAGCCTGGGCCAGCTCCCCACATGACAGCTCCTGCTCCGGAAGGAGCCGCCGTCTCCTCCCACCACACACTTGTCGATGCACTCAGCCACAGAGAAGTCACTGGTGTTCTAACAACCTGCACATTACTGATCCGTCCCCATGCATCAGAAAACAACAAAGCTCAGAACATGGATTACTCTGAATCAATACTGTTCAGGATATTGTTTGGTCATGCCAAAGTTGACCCTGATTACCCAGTAACTATTGTCACCTCAAGTCTTTGTCCAGTGATAACAGTTAATATGAAAACAATCCATGGCCGGGTGTGGTGGCTCACACCTGTAATCCCAGCACTTTGGGAGGCCGAGGCAGGTGGACTGCCTGAGCTCAGGAGTTCGGGAGCAGCCTGGGCAACATGGGAAACCCTGTCTCTACTAAAATACAAAACATCAGCAAGGCGTGGCGGCGTGCACCTGTAGTCCCAGCTACTCTGGAGGCTGAGGCAGGAGAATCGCTTGAACCCGGGAGGCAGAGGTTGCAGTGAGCAGAGATCGCGCCACTGCACTCCAGCCTGGGTGAGAGTGAGACTCCGTCTCAAAAACAAAGCAAAACAAAACAAACAAACCAAACCAATCCATTCAGGAACTCAGAGGTGGTAAAAGAGCCTTAAAATACTTGTTCTTTGTCTTTTTTTGAGACAGGTCTCCTGTTGCTCAGGCTGGAGTGCAGTGGTATGAACATGGCTCACTGTCTCAAGTGATCCTCCTGCCTCAGCCTCCTGAGTAACTGGGATTACAAGCATGTACCACCATGCTCAGCTACTTTTTAAACTTTCTGTAGAGACAGGGTCTCACTATGTTCTCCAGACTGGTCTCAAACTTCTGGTCTCAAGTGATCCTCCTGCCTTGGCCTCCTAAAGTGCTGGGATTACAGACGTGGGCCACTGTGCCTGGCCTGCTTGCTCTGTTCTTACATGCTGAGTGTCACATATCCCAAGTGAAAACCTGGTATATAAGATTATCAATTCAACTTCCCAACATAGAGGCAACAACTCACACATTGCCTTAGGGGCAGCTTCTCAAGGCACACGCCTGCTCCTGTCACATCCACAGTCGCTGCATGTGCCCCACACGGCTGTTCTCTGTTGCTTTTTACGCAATCTCTGGCTGACTCACTGGGCACGCTAACCCATTCCCCGCTGTCACCACAAGCCCCAGCACTATGTGTCCTGTCTCAGGTGGACGGGGGGCAGCCTTACCCTCCCATATAAGGTGTGCAATATTGAGTGGCCGGTCCGATCAGCCACACAGCAGCACCGATGGGCCTGCCTGCCCTTTCCAAACTTGAGGCTGTGTCCGCCAAATGCACGCTGATAAATCTTCCCATCTTCAGTTCTGCTAAACGGCATGCCATAATTTTCTACCTGTGAAAGATAAAAACAAACAAAAGCCTTATTACCCTAAAGGAGTCAAGATATTCACAGCTAATCTACACTAAACAACTTTAATACAAATCTGCAAACCCAAATTAACCTATTTTATGAAAATGTCAACACTTCATCAAAGAGAAGTTTTTCTTATTACATGTAATACATAGTTCATGATGGACAAAGACTTCTCTTGTGAGCTTTGCTAATCACCATTCTTTCGGCTGCCACATCTGCCTCAACTGCTTACATTTTTTCCAGGACTCTTGTACTGGAAACAGACCACCAGAGCACCCAGAGCCT
Organism: Homo sapiens; assembly: GCF_000001405.40. Taxonomy (NCBI): domain Eukaryota; kingdom Metazoa; phylum Chordata; class Mammalia; order Primates; family Hominidae; genus Homo; species Homo sapiens. The sequence continues at coordinate 131,332 of NT_187691.1, forward strand.
CCCGCCCATCACCTCGACCATGGCAGTGGGGGCCTGCTCCGTCACGTAGTGGATGGCATCCTGGTCCCCCAGCCAGTCGGAGCCCTTCACGGTGTCATAGAAATGCCACCTCCAGTTGTCCTCCTCCATGTTCCCCAGAGCAGCATTGATTCCAACCTGGAAACACCAACCACTCCTTACAAGCCACAAACAGGAGCCCCAGCTTTGTCTTCCAGGCCCAAATCCACCCGCTGGGGGATTCAGAGAAAGCCAGCTACTCACATGGTGACTCCCAGTGAGGGCTGACCTCAGCAGAGGAGCAGCCAGGCCTGACAGATTCCAGATCACAACCCCTCCCAGACTCACCCAGTGATTCCATCCCTTAGCCTCAGTCTCCTCATCTGTGTGGTGGAGACAGAGGGAACTCCAGGAAGGGCTGACTGGAGCAGTGAGTGAAAGGCTACCTGTAATATGCTTATTACCTAACGTATCTGGCACAGAAAAGGTACTCCATGAATCTCTCCGCATAATTTTATTAACAAATCTTCCCAACGGCATTTACGGGCATGTGTTAAAGATTAGAAGTGCTTCCTGCCAAGTAATAAACTCCATACTCAGAGTCGCACTCCCCTGTACCCCTACTTCCTTTGGCTGTGTGTGCCCACCACCGTCTTACCCCTCAGAGAGTCCCAGAAGACAGCAGCACCAGGGACAAATGAAACCCTTGCCCTTTTCTTCCCCAACCTAAATTCTGAATCCTCCTCTTTAGATGATCTCCTTTTCTTAAGGTGTTGGGGTGGCAGGGGTGGGTGGGGAGGGTAGATGGTCAGAGAAAACCCAAGTGTGACTGGAGTCTGAATTAAGAGTGACAACAAGGCTCCCGCCCTTCAAAGTCCCCAGGGAAGAGGCTCCAGGGAGAGACCCCTGAATGGGTGAGCTGAGTAAGGCACAGCAAGAGGCCAAGTGGCTGGAGCACAGGGAGGAGGCAGGAGGCTGCCCAGGTAGAAAGTGCGAGGCTGCGCGGGACCTGCACGGAGTGGGAGCACAGTGGGGCACCTTTCTCTTACCTGCGCTGCAACAGTGTGTGACCTGGTAGGAAACAGCTTGGTAACACATGCTGTATCAAACTCTGCCTCGGAAAGGCCAAATGCAGCTCGCAAAGCCTGCCCCTCCAGCGCCTACCACCACTGCATCAAATTCATGATCCACTACTGGATACTGAGCAGAAATCTGGAAAAGAAAAATTCACCTGTCAAGCACAGGTTCCACTATGCCAAACATGAAGACTCTTGTGCCAGTGAAAGAGCTTGACAAAGATAAAAGGAGCAACTGCTGGGCACACAGGGCCTCCATCCTGTCCTGGGGCTGAGCCCTGAACAGTGCAGGGAGAAGTAGGCACATTCGCACCTGGAGAAGGGACTGATAATCAGATTCTATGAATGGTAGAGGGTCTATTCCATGGGATCAGACTGAGGACCACAACTCTACTTCAGGGCCGTGCCTATGCTTATGCCTGAGAAGGTACCAAGGAGCATTCAGTCGCTATTGTGAGCTTATGAGAAAAGAACTTCTCAGCACGTTTCAGTTTTCCAACAGAGAGAGAACAGGCACACTCAATACCAAGGAACCCACACCGGAAGGGCCCCACGGTCCTCTTTTCAGTAGGATTTTATCATCTATCACAGCAGATACTGTTCATTTTAATTTATTGCTTTACTTGACCTAAATTTAAATCTAATTTATAGATACATAACAGATACAAGTAAAAATGTTAACATCTATGTTTATATTGGTACTTGCAATTAAGTATTATTACACTGAAAATAATTTCAGCATGCATTGGATACCTATGAGAAATTTTTCCCTTATGTCTATGACTCATATGAAAACAAACTGGTATAGATCCTTACCCCCAAGCCAAAAAAATCATTTATAATGGAACAAAAAGCATGAACTTACGGAATCTGAAACTTTAGCAGATGCCCTCTCGTTCCTTCAACAGTGAAGTGAACACCTCGGGTTCCTGTTTGCAACACTGTTGGCCACTGGAGACACAGAAGACACAGATCCAGAGGGTTAGTGTCCTGAAGGAACAAATGCTGTGGGGGATAGTAATTCAAACTTCCCCTTGAAAACTGTTCACCTTCTTATGTACCCAGGTGCTCCTGTGCATCCAGAGAGCTCAGCTGGGACCCTCTATTTAACCCTGAAGGGCAGCCCAAGGGGCAAGGAAGGACTGAGCCCCCAGGTCCTCCTTTCCACCCTGACTTGGCACTCTAGAAAACCAGGATGAAGCTTGTTTCCAAAAAGGATACTCACTGACTCAGATACGAGATGAAAAAGACGCACTTCCTCTGGGAAGTCTTCACTTATGCTACTTAGTGGAGGAGGGGAAAGACATCCAGATCGTATTACTGTATGTGGTATTTTGCAAATAATGAAGCATTTTAACCGGCTCCATCAGAGCCCTTTCCACATTACAGTTCCAATCGTCCAGGAGGGCTTGCGGTCAGTTCAAAAGGCACTGGACACCTGAATCAGGAGATCTGTATCCTGGAACAGTAAAGGCTGACAGCCCAGAGGGAAGAGGTGTCATCCCTTCATCACACAGGAGGATGTCGGATGCACACTCTCCCCTGCCTGGTTGATGCTGGCTTTTTCCTGGCCAACGTCTACAACTTGACATATCTCACTGCTTAAATTTTCCATCTTAGAAACCTTTACTCAAGAAAACTGGTTTTAGTGTTTAGTTTTTAGTGGCTCTGTGTGAGAGAGGTCACACTGTCCCATATGCTAAGGTTGGCCAGCCATTTAGGGGATACGTTTTCCATTCTGCTGGCGGCATTTTAGAAGACCACTGAATAGTCTCAGAAATATCATCAAGAATAGTTTTAGGGGCTGGGCGTGGTGGCTCATGCCTGTAATCCCAGCATTTTGGGAGGCCAAGGTGGGCAGATCACCTGAAGTCAGGAGTTCGAGACCAGTCTGGCCAACATGGCAAAACCCCCTCTCTACTAAAAATTAGCTGGTCGTGGTGGCGGGCACCTGTAATCCCAGCTACTTGGGAAGCTGAGGCAGGAGAATCGCTTGAACCCAGGAGGCAGAGGTTGCAGTGAGCCGAGACTGTGCCACTGTACTCCGGCCTGGGCGACAGAGCGAGACAATGTCTCCAAAAAAACAAAAGAAAAAAAAAAGCTTTAGGAAATTATGCACTCAGCAATCAGAAGAGGGGATGTGAGGGATGTCTTCAAGTATTTAGAAATACTTGCAATTCACAAATTACTTATTATGTGGGATAAAAAATTATTCTTCATTTCTCCAATTTCTAGTCTGTTTTTATTGACATAAGCTAATTTAGTTTTTTCTTTTTTCAGAAAATGAGAAAGAACGAATATTCTTCTACCTTAGTATAATTTTTTACATGGTAAAATCATATTTTAAGAAAGAAGTCTTTGAAATAATTTTAATAAAAACGTTCTTGAAAATTTTGTAAAGTGCCCTATTAACATAGGTAATAGCACCAATAAAAACAGTACATTATACCAAATGTAAGTAGAAACAGTGAGATCACTAAATGTTTATTCGTTCTTTCTAGGATGTTGATGTGGAATACACACTGCCCACTCCCCACCACACACACACACAGCTGCCTTAAAAGGGGCAGCTACTATAACACAATCTTGAACAAATCATCACGCCATCCCCCTGGGGAAAAGGACACTAACCCTCTGCATCTAAATCTCATCTGGGGCAGATTTTTGAATCTGGAAAGCCCAACTTCAAGCCAATGTCAGTCTTTAGATAAAACTCAAAACTACTTTTGACACAAAACTAGTCTTTTGTGCCAATTATTAATTTTTTAGGAGAAACTATCAAACATTTCCTCTAAGAAAAAACATGGGGAACATATAACTAAAAGGAATACTTAGACCTTGCTTAACAATACAGAATTTCAGATGACTGAATCAGGAGGTGGAGGGGGAAAAGTAACAAGTGCAGAGACATTCATATCCGAAATCTAGCAAAGTAAGGGGTCCTCATCGAATAAAATGCACCTATAAATCATGAGCAAGAAACGAATCTGCATGTACAGCCTACACAATCACAAAAGCAGCCAACGAAGAACCCAAAAACGCACGACTTTCTGTAGGAAAAGCTACCTTCATCAAGATAAAAAGACTTTTACAAAACCCAAGACTAAATTTTGGTTCCATTTTGCTATCTTGCCATCTGGTCTGAGGTGCCTGGGGCCTTAGTCTGCAGAAGGAACACTGGGCACCATCTGGGTTGGGGACAAAGGCACTGGCTCTATCTAGCTTCTCTCCAACCACAAGCTACCATTGCCCCTAAAAAGTCCCACTGACCATGGGCTTCACCTCCTGCTTGTGGACGCCCTCCCAGCAGCTCCTAAGAGCCCAAGATGCGGCGGGGGTCTCTGCTCAGTCAGCACCAACCACAGCAACACGCTAGAACGGTTTACACGCTTTCCGATGTTGACAGGATGGCTGTATGACTAATCCTCACATTTAATTCAAAGAGATTTTCAATAACTATTTCAAAAAGGAGAAAATTGCACAATCACAGGCATAATTCAAATCAATATTGCTGAATGCCTTGGTTCCTCTATTGAGATTTTTACTCTGCAATTTAAAATTACTTTGTAATTAAGAGGTGGGTGGCTAAGTTCATTTAAAAGAACCAAACAACTAAACCTATCCAATTTCGCTTGATTAAATGAAATCCTAGAAGGCCGATTCTGAAGATGCAATCGTAGAGGGCACATTCAGACACTCAGAGAGCAAGGGCTCAGGGAAGTATAACCCTGACCATCATCCTGGACTAAGCCGAGCCCGGCCCTCGAGGTACTCAGCGCACAGGCAAGCACAGGTCCTGGAGTCCTCGCTCGGTCAGTGCCCTGAGCTCTCCGTCTGATTTTTAAAAACTGGCACAGCTGCTTTTAAACACCGGCACATTTTTGTGGCACAAGGGCCACCAAACGGGACCCAAAGTACAGGTCCTTAACTTCCAAGATCCCGAAGTGGACATGCACAGATTTGCGCTCTCTGGAAAGGGGAACTGCAAGCCCAAGCTCGGGCGCGCCGCGCTTCCCACCGGACACCCACCCGGCCGAGCCCGGCCACTCCTCGCACCCACCCAGGCGGTTTCACCCGCCCCGCCGGCCCCACCCACGGGCTGCGGGCGGCCCCGCAGGACAACCCTCACAGAGGGCGGCAGAGGCCCGGCCCAGCCAGGACTCCACCCCGGTGACCTTGGGCAGACACGACTCCTCCCCGAGTCCACCCGCCAGGCAGAGGCGAGGGGCTACCTCAGCCCGCGAGGTCGCCGGACCCCAGGCCCGGACCAAAGCGGCGGAGGGGACGCCCAGCAAGCCCGCGGGGTCGCGACCTTCACCGGGACGCGGCCTACCTGCTAAGGACCGAGCTCCCCAGGCCCCCGAGTACACTCCGCGGCTCCCCCTCGCACCGGCCCAGGGCTCTCCCAGCCCCTTCCCGATCCCCGGGCAGGGGGCGCGGGCACCCGGCGCCCGCTCCGCTCGGACCCGCTGGGGACCGTCCCGCTCCTACCGCCGCCTCGCCCCCCGCCTGCCCTGCCCCGGTCCGCGGCAGGGACTCACCGCCTTGGCCAGCGCCAGCGCCAAGCGCCGAGCGCTTGGCAACCGCGACAGGCCCCGGACCCCCGACACGTCTGTAGTCGCCGCCGCGCAGTCCCGCCAGTCCCTGCGCAGACTGCGCCTGCGCACCACGGCCGGGTCAAGGCGGGGCGCTAGTGGGGGACATCGCGCCTGCGCACCACGACACGCCCGGGCAGGGGTCTAATGGGCGGGGACGCCGCGCCTGCGCAAAGCGGACCCGCGGACGGTGGCGCTGGGTGGCCACGGAGGTCCCGCGCTCCCCGACCGAGATAGGGCGGGCCCTATTTCGGGGAGATGTTGGGCACCAACATTTTTTAAAGCCCCGTGGGTGGTTCTCCGGGATCTCCCAGACCGAGAGGGCCTGAACGTCCAGACCTCAGGGAATGGGGTCGAAGGGGCGGCGCTCGTCCGCGGAGGTGGGCGGGAGCGGCCCGGGGCCTCCGGCCTCTAGAGAGCGGGAGTGACCCTCGGTTTCTGGCCTCCGAGGGGCGGGAGCGATCCTCAGCCATGTCCCTAGTGTCTGGCTTCCGGCTGATTTTTAAATTTTTGGTAGAGGCGGGATCTTGCTCTGTTGCCCAGGCTGGTCTCGAACTTGTGGCCTCAAGCGATCCTACCTCCTCGGCCTCCCCAAGTGCGGAGATTACAGACAGAGCCACTGCGCACGGCCGTGGTCAGCTTTGAAAGCTGGGTAGATCCCTTTGGCTCATACGCCTTTCTGCTAGCTTACCCTGATTCTGCTTCTGGTTCAGATAGTATTTTAATATTTCTAGTGTGTCTTTTTCTAAGATATCTGAAATCTTTTTGTGGAATGAAGTGGCATGAAAAATAAACCAATAATCATTAGTAAGTATGTTTCCTGTCTTTTCACTTTATTAAAATCTTCGTCTTGTGCATCATGTTTAACAATTTTATTTTAGTAAATTTGCAAGGGTTCAGTCCCATTTTACTGATATTTGGGTTGTTTCCCATTTTTGCTCTTAATAACACCATACAGAACATATTTGTGACCATAACTTTCTCTTTAGGATTATTTTTTTAGATGTATGCCCCAGACGTGACCTTTATTGGCTTGCAGGGAATGAACATCATACCTCCTAGACTTATTTTTTTAAAGTTACGCTGTTTTAGTCCTGGGTTAGTTACCTAATTTTGTTTGGTTTGAGACGGAGTTTCGCTCTTGTTGCCCAGGCTGGAGTGGAATGGCGGGATCTCGGCTCACCGCAACCTCTGCCTCCAGGGTTCAAGAGATTCTCCCGCGGAGCTTACAGTGAGCGGAGATGGCGCCACTTCACTCCAGCCTGGGCAACAGAGCAAGACTATATTGCTTTAATTTACTCTGCCGGCTATCTGGAGAGATGCAACCTCATCAGCAGAAATTATTTCCACCCTGCTGCTTTTTAAATGTTATTTCCTATAGCCAGGTACTGAGCCCTTCAATTGAGGTCTAAACCCTCCACCCTCTCCCTCCGGGATTGCCAAGCCTGTGGTTTCAGTTCCATGCTCCCAGGTAGATTGTGTCAACTCAAAGTCAATGCGCTTATGAAATACTTTTTGTGGTTTTTTTCTTAATTTTAAGAGGTTTTTTTTTAAAATATGTTTTTGTTTCATGGAGGCGACACCCTCTGTCTCTGAGTTGTGGGAGCCTTCCTCCTTCAGTCTGCATGTACTGAAGCCAGTGTTTGCCGTACCAGCCCCTCAGCCGCAGCAGCCCACAGTGAGGTGCAGGTGCTCACGCCATCGCCCCAGAGAGCTCCTCCATTCGCCCCTCCACCCGTAGCCCCTCGAAACCACTGCCCTGCTCCCCGACACGGTACACTGTCTTCTCCAAGATGTCATGTGTTGGCATCCTTTGGCCTGTGCCCACCGAAACTAGCTTCCTTCAACGGGCATGTAGCCTGGGAGACCTGGGGCATTTGGGTGCATCTTTCCACTGCTGGTTGGTGCCCCCTGTGTGGAAGCATCCGCGTTAGTTCACGCCTTCTCCTGCTCCTGCCGACGGACATTTTGTTTTCTTCCAGTTATTGGCAATGAGGAATGAGGCCTAAACACTTGTGTGCAGGTTTGTGTGTGCACGTTTAAGTTTTCCCTTGGGGGACATTTCAGCAGTGGGGTTGCTGGATGACATGGTAAGGATGTGCTTAACTTCGTAAGAAACTCCAGGACCACTTTCCAGCATGGCGGGACCCCTCCCATTCCCACTGCAGCTTATGAGGGTCCCAGTTCCTCTGCATCATCACTAGAACCTGGGTTGGCCCATGGGTTTTGTCTGTTTTTAGCCATTTTAATGGATTTGCAGAGGTACTGCTGACTGGCATTTCTCCAGCATCTCTATGATGTTGAGCCTCTTTCTCGGGCAATATGCCCTCCTTATACCTTCTTTGATGAGGCCTCCGTTCCAATATTGGCCCTCTCTTTAATACTGGGGTTTTTACTTTCTTATGGTTAAGTTTTGATGGTTCTTCATATATCCTGCGTGCCAGTAGGTTGTGAGACGTGTGATTCACAAATGTTTATTTCTAGACCATAGTTCATGTTTCATTCTCTTTGGATTTTTATATTGCTTTATAGAATTATAATTTTAAATTTATGACTAAATTTAATTTGTCAATCTTATGAATCATGCTTTTGGTGTCATGTCTAAGAACTTTTCGCCTAACCCCAGGCCATACGAATTTTCCCCTGTGTTTTTAGCTAAGGGTTTGATAGCGTTATGTTCTCCATTTAGGCCTTTAATAAATGTTGAGGAACATTTTGTGACCGCCATGGCCATACCTTTCTCCATCTCTCACGGTATCGTGGGCATTTGCAGCTCCCAGTGCGCCGTGCTGTTCCCGTCTTCTTGGTCTGCTCCTCCTGTCATACCTTTCTCCGTCTCTCACAGTATCGTGGGCGTTTGCAGCTCCCAGTGCCCCGTGCTGTTCCCGGCTTCTTGGTCCGCTCTTCCTGTGAGTTTCAGGGCACGTCTTAGTGCTGGCACTGTCCTGGTCCATCGGGGGTCCCATGAGCTTCTCCATGTGGGAAGGTTGGGACTGTGATGTTGACGGGATGCCCTGTGAGTCAGGAGGAGGTGCTGACGGGGGTTTCCATGTAGGAGAGAGAGGTGTTTGGTTTTCCGGATGGGGCAGACTTGAGAGGGGACAAACTTGAGAAATGCCACCAATGAGAAGGGCACGCACAGCAGGTCTCGGGGCCGCCCAGCCGTGTGGGAGACAAACGTGGATGTGTCAGTGGCCACGCCAGGAGGTAAACCCTCAACCAAGGGCCTCTGGGTGTCCAAGACCAAGTCTTGCTCAAGAGGTGTGTTCAGCTGAGCCAACCATGGCAGAAATGCATAAGGGAGATCCCACGGTTCCTCTGTTTAAATCCCCTGCTAATCCCACCAGACTCAGAGAAGCAGCCAAGTCCTCACAGCAGCCTGCAACCCCCGCCTGACTCGGCCTCCTCTTGGCTCTGATTCTCTGCACCCTTCTATCCCTGTCTCTTCTTCCATCAGAGAGGAGATCCGGCACGTTTATCCTGGTGGATTCAAACCCATCTTTGCCCCACATATAGTCACCGGAATGAATAGGTATAATCTAGAAAGAGTCCTTTTGAAAAAGAAAAAAGCAGGCCGGGCATGGTGGCTCATGCCTATAACCCTGCAGGGACCAGCCCCACAGGGTCGGTGGGTCTCTCCCTGTGTGCGGCGACGAGAGAGTGTAGAAATAAAGACACAAGACAAAGAGATAAGAGAAAGGGCAGCTGGGCCCGGGGGGCCACTACCACCAATGCGCGGAGAACGGTAGTGCCCCGAATGTCTGGCTGCGCTGTTATTTATTGGATACAAGGCAGAAGGGGCAGGGTAAAGAATGTGAGTCACCTGCAATGATAGGTAAGGTCACGTGGGTCACGTGTCCACTGGACAGGGGGCCCTTCCCTGCCTGGCAGCCGAGGCAGAGAGGGAGAGGAGACAGAGAGAAAGACAGCTTATGCCATTATTTCCGCATATCAGGGACTATTAGTATTTTTACTAATTTACTACTGCTATCTAGAAGGCAGAGCCAGGTGTACAGGATGAAACATGAAGGCGGACTAGGAGCGTGACCACTGAAGCACAGCATCACAGGGAGACGGTTAGGCCTCCGGATAACTGCAGGCGAGCCTGACTGATGTCAGGCCCTCCACAAGAGGTGGAGGAGCAGAGTCTTCTCTAAACTCCCCCGGGGAAAGGGAGACCCCCCCCCCTCCCCGCCCTTTCCCGGTCTGCTAAGTATCGGGTGTTGTTCCTTGACACCTTTTGCTATCCGCCTGGTAACAGGCATCTTCCCAGACGCTGGCATCACCGCTAGACCAAGGAGCCCTCTGGTGGCCCGGTCCGGGCATAACAGAAGGCTCGCACTCTTGTCTTCTGGTCACACCTCACTATGTCCCCTCAGCTCCTATCTCTGTATGGCCTGGTTTTTCCTAGGCTACGATTATAGAGCAAGGATTATCATAATATTGGAATAAAAAGTAATTGCTACAAACTAATGATTAATGATATTCATATATAATCATATCTAAGATCTATATCTGGTATAACTATTCTTGTTTTATATTTTATTATACTGGAACAGCTCGTGTCCTCTGTCTCTTGCCTCGGTGCCTGGGTGGCTTGCCACCCACATAATCCCAGCACTTTGGGAGGCTGAGGTGGGAGAATCACCTGAGGTCAGGAGTTTCAGACCAGCCTGGACAACATGGTGAAACCCCATCTGTAGTAAACATATAAAAATTAGTTGGGCGTGGTGGTGCGTGCCTGTAATCCCAGCCACTTGGGAGGCTGAGGCAGGAGAATCATTTGAACCCAGAAGATGGAGGTTGCAGTGAGCTGAGATCGCGCCACTGCACTCCAGCCTGGGTGGCAGAGTGATATTGTCTCAAAAACATAGTAATAGGAATAATAAAGGAAAAGTGCAAAAATTCAAACAACTTAACAGAAACTGGGCAAAAGAGCTGAACCGGCCCTCCACAGAAGAGGAAATGTGGAGGAATGGCTAATGAAAACATGAAGAGGGGCTCAGCCTAACAGGGGGAGATATCACGTGACAACCACCAGACGGGCAAAAATCCCACAACCCAATCCATGCCAGCGTTGGGGAGAATGGAGAGAAGCAGGAACACCAGGCACTGCTAACGCTTGTGAAGTATATTTCTGCTATGCTTGTATATGAAAGTGTGTGTGTTGTGGGTTATGAGGAAAATTACATTTTTACCTGGGATGAAATTTTAAAATTTGAAAGCTACTGACCAGAAGAAACTTGCGCTTGTGTACAAAAGAAATGCCCAAGAACGTTCCCAACAAAACACAGTCCTAAGGGCCCCAACCTGGCCAAACACTCATCCACGGGAAGATGAAGACATTTCCCATGCTCCCCTCAGACGACGGGAGACCATGCAGCAATGAAAATGAGCCATGTCAGTGTGGGTGGGTCTCAGGGAGAGAATGGAGGACAAAAATAGACACAGAGCAGGTGCTCAGAGCCATGCAGTGCAGGAGCAGCCACGCAGGAGAATTCCCTCACGTCAAAGTTCAAAACTACAGCCGAGGCAACAGAGCAAGACCCTGCCTCAAAAAGAAAACAGAAAGTTCAAAAACTAAATGGCATATCTTTTAGGGATGTACACACACGGTGAAAGAAACATACTATGAAGGAAAGTGTGCAAATAATAAAGACTAAAGCAGGAAGTGATTCCCTCCGTAGGAGAAGGGAAGGGACTGGGACTCAGGCAGGGCCTCCAGGGAGCATCCAAAGCTATGTCTCTTCAGATTCTACTCCCTAAACTTGGTGGAGGTCCTCTGTGTCCAATGTGTCAATATTCTTTATACCTTACCCATACTGTAAAAACGCTTTATTTCTATTCAATATTTAGAAGACAGTTATAAACAAGATGCATTCAATAGCATGGTGGCAGATGAACATCAGGAAGGAACATCCATGAGCTTCCATCCACGGAACCTCACCATGGATACGCTTGTGATCAAGGGCCTGGTCTCCCCTCAAGACACGGTCACAGATCAGAGGCCACACCATCCTAGCAGTGGAGCAGGACCAGCTGGGACAGGGTCCTTCTGTGACACCTGCTGCATCACCAGGCTGGGTGAACGGACACAATTGCCAGAACTCACAGAATAGAAGTATCAGCACCGAAACCTCACAGGAAAAATGGTAAGTTCTAAGTTTCTCCATTAATAGTAACTCTCAGATTAATCTCTGTCATCCATCGCTTCTCCAAGAAATGACTTTTTAGGGTGATGTGCCAGGCGCCATGTTGGAGGGCTGGTGGTAGCGGCTTGGGGAGGTGCTCACTCTGTCGGTCTCACTCTCTCACACGCTTCCCCGGCTCCCTTCGTTCCCCCCCACCCCACTTGGCCTGCGTGCTGGAGGGTGTGCGAGGGAGTGGGAGGACGTCGGGGGGTGGGGGGAGGCGTTCCGGTCCCCAAGAGACCCGCGGAGGGAGGCGGAGGCTGTGAGGGACTCCGGGAAGCCATGGACGTCGACAGGCTCCAGGAGGCGCTGGAAGATTTTGAGAAGAGGCAAAAAAGAAAGTCTGTCCTGTCCTGGATCAGTTCCTTTTGTCATGTAGCCAAGACTGGAGAAACAGATTCCGTGGTCCCAATTTAAAGGCTATTTTATTTTCAAACTGGAGAAAGTGATGGATGATTTCAGAACTTCAGCTCCTGCGCCAAGAGGTCCTCCCAACCCTAATGTCGAATATATTCCCTGTGATGAAACAAAGGGAAGAATACTGAAAAACTGTCACTGGATTTAACCGTATCCCTTTTACTATTCAGCGATTATGTGAATTGTTAACAGATCCGAGGAGAAACTATACAGGAACAGACAAATTTCTCAGAGGAGTAGAAAAGAACGTGATGGTTGTTAGCTGTGTTTATCCTTCTTCAGAGAAAAACAATTCCAATAGTTTAAATCGAATGAATGGTGTGATGTTTCCTGGAAATGCACCAAGCTATACTGAGAGGTCTAATATAAATGGGCCTGGGACACCCAGGCCACGTAATCGACCAAAGGTTTCTCTGTCAGCCCCCATGACAACAAATGGGTGGCCTGAGAGCACAGACAGCAAAGAGGCAAATTTGCAGCAAAATGAAGAGAAAACTCAGTGACTCTTCGACATCTGAATCAGAAGTTTCCTCAGTGAGCCCTTTGAGAAATAAACATCCAGATGAAGATGCTGTGGAAGCTGAGGGGCATGAGGTAAAAAGACTCAGGTTTGACAAAAAAGGCGAAGTCGGAGAAATAGCCAGTCAAGCGACTTGCAGCGAAATTTCTTCAGTTATGGTAGAAGAAACAGAAGCATCACCTTCATCTCATGATAAAGACAAAAAAAGCCATGGTACCCGGCAGCGCGTTCAGAAGAAGATGAAGATGAAGAGGAAGAAGAAGGGATTGAGAGACCATCTGTAAAAGGGAGGAGTAAGGAGATCCTCAAATTCTTGCATTCATTGTTTTTGTGAAAGAATTGTACATCATGGAACTCCTTGTAATGTCGACGCTGGGCTTTTCTCCCACCTGTATGCAGTTGCTGCTGAATTTCAGGGGATGTGATTTGAACTACAGAACATCAGAATTCACGAAACTTAACTGTGGAGGTATTTTGAATATAAAATTTAAGTACAACAACATTTGCTTATTTTTAGAGTCTTTTATGACATCAAGAGAAATGGTCCCAGAAAGAAAAAACCAAGAAAAAGAATCTGATGATGCCTCAACTGTGAATGAAGAGACTTCTGAGGAAAATAATGAAATGGAGGAATCTGATGTGTCTCAAGCTGAGAAAGATTTACTACATTCTGAAGGTAGTGAAAACGAAGGCCCTGAAAGTAGTGGTTCTTCTGACTGCCGTGAAACAGAAGAATTAGTAGGATCCAATTCCAGTAAAACTGGAGAGATTCTTTCAGAATCATCCATGGATAATGATGACGAAGCCACAGAAGTCACCGATGAACCACTGGAACAAGACTATTTAGAAACATTTACATGCAGTATTTTACACACAGTTCTGGTTTTAACACTGTATAAAACTTTTATGTAAAAAAGTGCACCTTTAGTTTTATAAGAAAAGCAGGTTGTAAAATAAAGTACTTTATGGATAATTCCTGAAAGAGTTGTCCATGTAAGAACTGTGAATATCAGCTCCTCTGGGTCCTGCTTACCTTACCGCTGATTTCTTTTTCTTTCTTTCTTTCTTTCTTTCTTTCTTTCTTTCTTTCTTTCTTTCTTTCTTTCTTTCTTTCTTTCTTTTCTTTCTTTCTTTCTTTCTTTGGTCTGGGCAAATCAGTGGTTTGTGTATAGATTTTTTTTTTTAATTTAGGATTAAAGTTTTTAAACTGGAAAGTAATTATAATTTTGAACAGTTTTTTGAGATTATCACATTTAGTTTATACATATGCAAGAAGCTTTTTGTCTTGTGTCTTTCTGATAGCTCCAGCAGTTTTCATATTTTGGTCATAGTTTCAACATTTTAACATGTGAATAATAGAGTTTCATGCTGGTTTCCAGATTTTATTGTTCGGATACATACAATAGAACCTTAAGTTTTATATATATATATATATATATATATATATATATATATATATATATATATATATTCTAAGGGGGAAAATGTTATATTTTTCTGTTTGTATAAGAGATAAATACAGTGGATACTTTTTCTATTGGTAATGACTGAGTTCACCTCTTTCAGAAGACATTTTCTTTCTCTTCTGAGTAACTGAAATAAAATCTGGCCTCTGTGAAACCCTGGAAATACCACGACCCTCAACTAGAAACACCAATACCAGCTCCTCCGCGAGTTTCCAGCTCCACAACCTAAGACATCAGAGGCAGCATTGGTTCCTCACGTAGAGTCCAGCTCCGGGACCCTCATATTTGAACCGCAGGGCCATCTCATCCCTGGATCTCCAGCTGCACCACACTCAAATTAGAACAACATCAGTTCCTCCCCAGGTCTCCACCTGCACAGCCCTCGAAAGGGAATGTCAGCTCCTCCCCGGGTCTCCAGCTGTAGGGCCCTAAAACTAGAACATCAGCTCCCGCCTGGGTCGCCAGCAGCACCACCCTCAAACTGGAACATCAGATCCCCACGGGTCTCCAGCTGCAGGGCCCTCAAACTGGAACATCAGCTCCCCACCAGATCTCCAGCTGCACGGACCTCAAACTGGAACATCAGCTCCCCGCCGGGTCTCCAGCTGCACTGCCTGCAAACTGGAACATGAGCTCCCTGCCCGGTCTCCAGCTGCATGGCCCTCAAACTGGAACATCAGCTCCCCACCAGATTGCCAGCTGCACGGCCCTCAAACTGGAATATCAGCTCCACCCCGGGGCTCCAGGTGCACAGCCCTCAACCTGCAACATCAGCTCCCCACTGGGTCTCCAGATGAATGGCCCTCAACCTGCAACATCAGCTCCCCACCGGGTCTCCAGATGCATGGCCCTCAAACTGGAACATCAGCTCCCCACCGGGTCTCCAGCTGCATGGCCTTAAACTGGAACATCAGCTCCGAGACCCTCAAACAGGAACATCAGCTCCCCACAGGGTCTCCAGCTGCACAGCCCTCAAATTGCAACATCACTTCCCCCCTGCATGTCCAG
Organism: Homo sapiens; assembly: GCF_000001405.40. Classification (NCBI taxonomy): domain Eukaryota; kingdom Metazoa; phylum Chordata; class Mammalia; order Primates; family Hominidae; genus Homo; species Homo sapiens. The sequence continues at coordinate 146,602 of NT_187691.1, forward strand.
CTGCACCGCCTCAAACTGCAACATCAGCTCCCCGCTGGGTCTCCAGCAGCATGGCCCTCAACCTGGAACATCAGCTCCCCCCAACCCGGGTCTCCAACTCCACAGCCCTCAACCTGCAACACTGGCTACCAACTGGGTCTCCAGATGCATGGCCCTCAAACTGGAACATCAGCTCCACCCCCGGTATCCAGCTGCACAGCCCTCAAACTGGAACATCAGCTCCCTGCCGGGTCTCCAGGTGCACGGCCCTCAAACTGGAACATCAGCTCCCCACCAGGTCTCCAGCCGCACGGCCCTCATACTGGAACATCAGCTCCCCACCAGATCTCCAGCTGCACAGCTCTCAAACAGGAACATCAGCTCCCCACAGGGTCTCCAGCTGCACGGCTCTCAAACAAGAACATCAGCTCCCCACAGGGTCTCCAGCTGCACGGCCCTCAACCTGCAACACTGGCTCCCCACCGGGTCTCCCGATGCACGGCCCTCAAACTGCAACATCAGTTCCCCCCGGGCATACAGCTGCATGGCCTTAAACTGGAACATCAGCTCCCCGCTAGGTCTCCAGGAGCACGGTCCTCAAACTGGAACATCAGCTCCCTGCCAGGTCACCAGCTGCATGGCCCTCAAACTGGAACATCACCTCCCCGCCAGGTCTCCAGCTGCATGGCCCTCAAATTGCAACATCAGCTCCCATCAGAGCCTCCAGCTGCATGGCCATCAAACTGGAACATCAGCTCCCCCGCGGGTCTCCAGCTGCACAGACCTCAAACTTGAACATCAGCTCCCCGCCGGGTCATCAACTGCATGGCCCTCAAACTGGAACATCAGCTCCACCCCTGGGTCTCCAGTAGCACGGCCCTACAACTGGAACATCAGCTTCCCCCTGGGTCTCCGGCTGCACAGCCCTACAACCGGAACATCAGCTCCCTGCCGGGTCTCCAGCTGCACAGCCCTCAAACTGGAACATCAGCTCCCCGCTGAGTTCAAACTATTCCAGTTTGAGGGCCGTGCAGCTGGAGACCCGGCGGGGAGCTGATGTTCCAGTCTGAGGGCCGTGCAGCTGGAGACCCGCGGGGGAGCCGAACTTCCGGTTTGAGGGCCATGCAGCTGGATACCCGGTGGGGAGCTGAAGTTCCAGTTTGAGGGCCGTGAAGCTGGAGACCCGTTGGGGAGCTGAAGTTCCAGTTTGAGGGCCGTGAAGCTGGAGACCCGGTGGGGAGCTGATGTTCCAGTCTGAGGGCCGTGCAGCTGGAGACCCAGTGGGGAGCTGATGTTCCAGTCTGAGGGCCGTGCAGCTGGAGACCCGGTGGGGAGCTGAACTTCCAGTTTGAGGGCCATGCAGCTGGATACCCGGTGGGGAGCTGAAGTTCCAGTTTGAGGGCCATTCAGCTGAAAGACTTGGGGAGAAGCTGATGTTCCAGTTTGAGGGCCGTGCAGCTGGAGACTCGGGGATAGCCGATGTTGCAGTTTGAGGGCCGTGCAGCTGGAGACCCGGGTGGGAACCGATGTTCCAGTTTGGGAGCCATGCAGCTGGAGGCACTGCGGGGAGCAGATGTTCCAGTTTGATGTTCCTCCCTGGGTCTCCAGGTGCACGGCCATCAAACTGGAACATCAGCTCCCCGGCCCTCAAACCGGAACATCAGCTCCCCGCCGGATCTCCAGCTGCACAGCTGTCAACATCAGCTCCTCCCCGAGTCCTCAGCTGCACGACCCTCAAGTTAGAACATCAGCTTCTCCCCAAGTCTTCAGCTGCGTGACCCTCAATCTAGAACATCAGTTCCTCTACAGGTCTGCAGCTGCAAGACCCTCAATCTAGAACGTCAGCTCCTCCCTGAGTCTCCAGCTGAAACACCCTCAAAACGAACAACATCAGCTCCTCCCTGAGTCTTCAGCTGCACGACGCTCAATCTACAACATCAGCTCCTGTCTGGTTCTCCAGCTGCACGACCCTCAAACTACAACCTCAGCTCTTCCCCGAGTCTTCTGCTGCATGACCCTCAATCTAGAACATAAGCTCCTCTCTCGGTGTCCACCTGTAGGGACCTCAAATTAGAACGTCAGCTCCTCCCAGAGTCTTCAGCTGCATGACCCTCAATCTTTAACATCAGCTCCTCTCCGGGTCTGCAGCTGCATGACCCTAAAAATACACGAGCAGCTCCTCCCTGAATCTTCAGCTGTACGACCCTCAAACTACAACATCAGCTCCTGTCTGCATCTCTAGCTGCAGGGCCCTCAAACTAGAATATCAGCTCCTCCCCGATTTTTCACCTGCATGACCCTCAAACTAGAACATCAGCTCCTGTACAGATTTCCAACTGTAGGGCCCTCAAACTAGAACATCAGCTCCTCCCCAAGTCAGCAGCTGCAAGACCCTCAAATTAGCAACTCAGCTCCTCCCGGAGTCTTCAGCTGCATGACCCTCAATCTCGAAGATCAGATACTCTCCGGGTCTTCAGCTGTAGGGCCCTCAAACTATAACATCAGCTCCTCTCCGAGTATTCAGCTGCACGACCCTCAATCTCGAACATCAGCACCTCTTCAGGTCTGCAGCTGTAGGGCCCTCAATCTAGAACATCAGCTCCTCCCTGAGTCTTCTGCTGCACGACCCTCAAACTAGAATCTCAGCTCCTCCCAAGTCTTCAGCTGCACGACCCTCAAACTAGAACCTCAGCTCCTCCCTGAGTCTTCAGCTGCATGACCCTTAATCTAGAACATCAGCTCCTCCCCGAGTCTTCAGCTGCACGACCCTCAATCTAGAACATCAGCTCCTCTCCAGGTCTGCAGCTGCAAGACCTTCAAACTAGAACATCAGCTCCTCTCCAGGTCTGCAGCTGCAAGACCTTCAAACTAGAACATCAGCTCCTCCCCGAGTCTTCACCTGCATGACCCTCAAACTAGAACATCAGCTCCTCTCCAGGTCTCCAGCTGCACGACCCTCAAAGTAGAACATCAGCTCCTCTCCGGGTCTGCAGCTGCAAGATCCTCAAACTAGAACATCAGCTCCTCTCCAGGTCTGCAGCTGCAAGACCCTCAATCTAGAACATCAGCTCCTCTCCAAGTGTGCAGCTGCACGACCCTCAATCTAGAACATCAGCTCCTCTCCAGGTCTGCAGCTGCAAGAACCTCAAACTAGAACATCAGCTCCTCTCCAGGTCTCCAGCTGCACGACCCTCAAACTAGAACATCAGCTCCTCTCCGCGTCTGCAGCTCCACGACCCTCAATCTAGAACATCAGCTCCTCCCCGGGTCTTCAGCTGCACGACCCTCAAACTAGAACATCAGCTCCTCCCTGGGTCTGCAGCTGGAAGATCCACTAACTAGAACATCAACTCCTGTCTAGGTTTCCAGCTCCATGACCCTCAATCAAGATTATCAGCTCCTCTCTGAGTCCCCAGCTGAAAGACCCTCAACGTGAACAACATCAGCTCCTCCCGAAGTCCTCAACTGCATGACCCTCAAACTACAACATCAGCTCCTCCCCGAGTATTCAGCTGCATGACCCTCAATCTAGAACATCAGCTCCTCTCTGACTCTGTAGCTGGAAGATCCACTAACTAGAACATCAGCTCCTGTCTGGGTCTCCAGCTCCATGACCCTTAATCAAGATTATCAGCTCCTCCCTGAGTCCCCAGCTGAAAGACCCTCAACACGAACAACATCAGCTCCTCCCAAAGTCCTCAACTGCATGACCCTCAAACTACAACATCAGCTCCTCCCCGAGTCTTCAGCTGCATGACCCTCTATCTAGAACATCAGCTCCTCCCCGGGTCTGCAGCTGCACGACCCTCAATCTAGAACATCAGCTCCTCCCCGGGTCTGCAGCTGCACGACCCTCAATCTAGAACATCAGCTCCTCCCCGGGTCTGCAGCTGCACGACCCTCAATCTAGAACATCAGCTCCTCCCCGGGTCTGCAGCTGCACGACCCTCAATCTAGAACATCAGCTCCTCCCCGGGTCTGCAGCTGCACGACCCTCAATCTAGAACATCAGCTCCTCCCCGGGTCTGCAGCTGCACGACCCTCAATCTAGAACATCAGCTCCTCCCCGGGTCTGCAGCTGCACGACCCTCAATCTAGAACATCAGCTCCTCCCCGGGTCTGCAGCTGCACGACCCTCAATCTAGAACATCAGCTCCTCCCCGGGTCTGCAGCTGCACGACCCTCAATCTAGAACATCAGCTCCTCCCCGGGTCTGCAGCTGCACGACCCTCAAGGTAGAACATCAGCTCTTCCCCGAGCTAAAACACCTCTCCCACCTGGATCTCCAGCTCCACGAGTCTCACAGAACAGCCACACTGGCTCCTTCATTGTCTTCAGCTCCACAACCTAAGACATCAGTGGGAGCACTGGCTCCTCCCTGGACCTCCAGCTCAACGACTCTCATAGACTTAAAAGGCAGCACCTGCTCCTCCCCAAGGCTCCATCTCCACCACCCTCAGATTTGAACAGCGGTAGCACCACCTCCTCTCCAGGTCTTCAGCCCCATGTCCCTCCCTGAACAATCCCTTCTCATGAAATTCAGCAGTCAAGAAATCTGCAGCGGAAGTAAATGAATAAACGTTTTGTTTTCAAATTGATATCTCTTTTATGTTCATGAATTAACTTTTCTACTTTCCATTAGCCTTGCAATCTACTTATGTCCAAGGTGAAACAGAAACACACCATTTGAAATCACGTTTAAAAACTTAGTAATGTTTTTCAATAAAATCATCACACAGCTGTAGACATGATCTTATTTCTCTCTGCCTGTGCAGAAGTCTTATGAAAATTCAAACTATGAATTTACTTTGTTGAGATTCCCAGAATACACATTAATCCCAACTGTTACTCCCCTCCTTAAAATCTTTTAACACATTCCCATCACCTGAGCATAAATGCCAGCTCCCATCCACAGCCCGAAGTGCCCAGCACGGCCCTGCCCTCTGCCCTGGTCTATGGTCTCCCCTCTTAAATGCCAGCACCATCCACAGCCCACAGTGCCCAGCACGGCCCTGCCCTCTGCCCTGCCCTCTGCTGTGGCCTAAGGTCTCTCCCCGGTGCCGTTCCCTTCCTGACGGACAGGCCTCTGTCCGTTCCTCAAACCACACAGGCTCAGGCCTCACTCCAGGCCTTTGCGCTTCTGTGCCCTCTGCCTAGGGTGCCTTTCCCGGGCTCTGCATCCTCCTCTCAACCCACTGAGCTCCAGCCTGCTGGTCGCCCCTCAGGTGGATGAATACACGGTGTCCTCTCACCCCACCAGCTTTTGCACAGGCTCTTCTCTGTGCCAGACAAACACCCTATCGGGGTTTACTCTCTAAATACCATTCATCCTTGGAGTCTCCACTGAAATATCGCTCCCTGCCCACCCCCCTCACTTGGACTTAACCTTGGTTAGGTTGCCAACCCCCGTCTCCTGACTCCGGGAAGCTAGATGCTCTCCTAGCACTCGGAACTTGCCCATTGCCACATTTGCACACCCGTGGTTACTGGGTTAGGTTGGCGCACAAGTCATCGCGGGTTTTGCCATTACTATTAATGAACGGCAGCAACGGCTCCTCCCCGTTTCTTTTGTTTTTTTTTTCGCCATTACTTTTAATGACTGCTGCACCAACCTATTAGAATCATTTATATTTATCCATCCATCATCTGCCTTCCCCTCTAGAAAGGAAGCTCCATGAGAATAGAGGCCAAATCTACTCAAATCACTCCACCTTCCCAGCACATTGTTTGTCAATAATCATTTACCAACTGACTGATAGAGAAATGCCTTCCCTGTTGCTGGGATGAGGCACATGACACGCCCCTTTGAAAGTCAATTCCATGGACAGTTAGCATTTGCTCTTCACTCCTGCACCCGTGGCGTGGCTGGGCTTAGGCTGATCTAGTCTGGCCTTGACTCCAGGCTAAGGATGGGAACCATGACTGCTCCACACGCCTCTCATCCCACAGCCAGAGCCGCCGTTCCCTGGGGCACGTGCATCTCATGGGGAAAATCAAGAGCCTTAGACGGCAGGCCTGGCAGTGCCCACACATTCCAGGCTTCTGCTTGTGCCGTGTCTGTGAAAATCTCGTTGGCAGAAGCAAGTCACCCAGCCACGAGCAACACCTATGGGACGGATAAGTCCATCCACCCTCCCTCGGGCCCTGGCAAGGTTGTGGCTATGTCATACTCTTACGGGGGGAGTGAAAAATTGAGGCCCAACATTAAATCACCCACGCGAGAAATGTCAGCCTCTGTCCCCACGCTGGAATCATTTTTCACCAGCGGGTTTGCCTGAATTCCCTTTGCAATGGTGTCTGCAGGTTTAGCCCAATGCTGGTCCCCGTGGAGGACACAGAAGCCTCAATGGGCCTCCGTCTGTTGGGAAGAACAAGATATTAGCTTGGCGCAAAACCACCGCAAGCCCCAGGAGGCCCTTGTGCCATGAGACAGGAGAGGGGCAGAGAACTGTGGGAACTCAGGAAAGCTCACATCCCCAGCCCCTCCCGTGCATCCCCAGCCCCTCCGCTGTGACCCCAGCACCAGCCCTCTCCCCTGCTTGCCCCATCTCTGCTTTCTTTTTTTCATTTTCTTTCTTTCCTTGTTTTTGAGACAGGGTTTGGCTCTGTCACTCAGGCTGGAGTGCAATGGCACGATCTCAGCTTACTGCAACCTTCACCTCCTGGGCTGAAGCAATTCTCCCTCCTCAGCCTCCCCAGTGGCTGGGACTACAGGTGCACGCCACCATATCCAGCTAATTTTTTTTTTTTTATTTTGGTAGAGACAGGATTTGCCATGTTGCCCAGGCTGGTCTCAAATTCCTGAGCTCAAGTAATCCTCCCACCTCAGCCTCGCAAAGTGCTGGGATTACAGGCATGAGCCACCGAGTCCAACCTACTTTATTTTTCTCTACAGTACTTGGAACCTTCTAATGTACTAAGGACACGTGTATTTTCTTTCTTTTTTGTCTTCCCTAGAACAGGAGCTTAATGTGGGCAGGTATTTTTGTTGATCTCATTTATCACCCTCTCCCCAGTTCCTGGAACAGGGTCTGGCACATGAATGGTGTGTTCTAAATAAATATTTTTAATAGATAAATAAATGAAATATCCTACAAGAGAAAGCTATATCTGGAACTCACCCATCAACAGAACCTAAAAGCCAAAGACCTTTAGCCTGTCTCTGCCTCTGAACACACCCAACCCCGGAGGAGCCAGCAGAGGAAAAAGAGGAACAAAGGCGGGGAAGGGAGCAGGTGGTGCCCACCAAGCAAGGAACCCTGAGGCTTAGGCCGAACCTGAGCTGGAGAAGGGACTCATCTAGGAACTGGGTATGAGATTAAAGTTTAGATTGGTCTGGCCTGGATTTTGTAACACCTAAACAAGAGTTATTCTATTCTTTTTTTGTTTTTTTTTTTTGAGATGGAGTCTCACTGTCCCCCAGGCTGGACTGTAGTGGCGCTATCTCAGCTCACTGCAACCTCTGCCTCCCAGGTTCAAGTGATTCTCATGCCTCAGCCTCCCGAGTAGCTGGGATTACAGGCGCACACCACCATTCCCGGCTAATTTTGTATTTTTAGTAGAGATAGAGTTTCACCATGTTGGCCCCCGGCTCACGCCTGTAATCCCAGCACTTTGGGAGGCCGAGGTGGGTGGATCATGAGGTCAGGAGATTGAGACCATCCTGGCTAACACGGTGAAACCCCATCTCTATTAAAAATACAAAAAATTAGCTGGGCGTGGTGGCAGGTGCCTGTAGTCCCAGCTACTCAGGAGGCTGAGGCAGGAGAATTGCTTGAACTCCAGATGCAGAGGTTGCAGTGAGCCAAGATCAATGCCACTGCACTCCAGCCTGGGTGACAGGGCAAGCCTTCATCTCAAAAACAAACAAACAAACAAACAAAAAACCTTCAAACGAATGTAAGAATTATTATTTTTTAAAGTACAACTTTAAAAATGCCCCTTACAAATACATCAGTGTTATATTAAGGGAAACCCACTTCAGAAGCACAAAGTTAATTTCTTATAATTCCAAGAAATATGTGAATGTTAAAAAAAACCCAAACACCCGAAAAGGGATCAATCTCAAGATAGTTTGTAACATTTTATTGCAAAAAGAAGGGCAGAGAACAGTCTTCTTCATACCTGTTCACCGTAATAATTTTTAGCAGCTCTCCTGTGCAAAGAAGTCTCATCAATCAATCAGCATACGGGCCACAAATACCTTCTCAGTGCGGTTTCACCTACAATACAAGCACTCAGAAGCACAAATTTAACTGAAGTGAGAAACCAGGCCATTTTGTAGCTTCAGTTTTTCTACCAGTAATATATTAATTTCTTGAAATAGCCTAATAATTTAGTTCTACTATCAAAACAGAAGCCCAATCTGGGAGAACAATTATTATACAAGTCAAACTAATTTCAATCATATTAGTATAGGAATTCATATTAGTATAGGCTAATAATTCATATTAGTAGAGGCGGGAGGATCGCTTGAGCCTAGGAGTTTGAGACCAGCCTGGGCAAGACAGTGAGACTCCATCTCTAATTTTTTTTTTAAATAAAGAAACTCAGAGAGGAGAAGGAAGCGGATTGATATGTGTCTATCCAAGCACAAATTTTGTGTGCCTGTACATACAACACGACTATGAACCTTCCTTCACGCAGCTCACAATCTAGTAGCGAGAGAAAAGTACGAAAACATGAGCCCCCACGATGAGGAAAAAGGCGCATATCAGAGAAAAGAAAAATGCTGCGATGATCCAATGGCAGGAGCAGCGCGCATCCACTTTCTTTGTTTTTTTGAGATGGGGTTTCGCTCTGTCTCCCAGGCTGGAGTGCCGTGGCTTGATCTCAGCTCAATGCAGCCTCAACCTCCCAGGCTCAAGTGATCTTCCCATCTCAGCCTCCCAAGTAGCTGGAACTACAGGCGTGCACCACTACACGTTTACTTTTTGTAGAAACAGGGTCTCACAATGTTGCCAAGGCTGGCATCCTGAAGGGCGGGTGGGGCTTCATCCTACAGAGATGAAAGGCAGAAGAAGCTCAGAGCCCAAAGCAAAGGGGTGGAGGACAAGGGCATCTTCAGAACAGAGTGGCTCAGCTGAGACATCCAGTAGGATGCCACCAGGCAGAGGTGTGGTGGAAAAACACAGGGCCACAGGGTGAATGCTCACATGTGAGGAGCAAACCACCACAGAACACAACAGAAACACGGTGTACTAAATCAGGCTTCAAATCGCAGCCCTGCAACTTCAGAGCTACCACAGGTAACCCAGAAAGGGAGCACGGACAGCACCGCCCACTGCCTGAGGCTATGAGATGGACCAGAAACCTGTGCTTACTAACAACCTGCCTTATTCCAGAAGGAATTCAGGAAACACAAAGACACTCACAGTACAGCAAAATAAAGTAAATGTGAATCATGTTGGCTGAGGAGAAAGTGAAGAGTCTAAGACTATGTCATAAAGTTTACCTCTACTCTAAACTCTCATTACTGGTGAGCCACCAATCTGACTTTAAGTTTTCTAGCAGCTAAATTGAAGAGGAAAATGTAATCAGGTAAAGGTTTATAAGATGCAAACAAAACAGGACAGCCACCACAGTTTCTGAGAAGACGCGCAGCTCCAGCTCCAGGAGAAACAGGGTGGCCATCTCCTGGGGCTGCCCCGCAGCAGGTGTGTCAGCCCCAAAGCCAGCGTCTCTCAGGGTGAACGGTGACTATGGGCTTCATGGGGCCACACACCTCCAGTACAAGCTGAGGAAATCTCCCAGGGCAATTCAAGGAACAGGGTCTCACAATGTTGTCCAGGCTGGTCTCAAACGATCCCCCTGCCTCGGCCTCCCAAAGTGTTGGGAGGTCAGACGTGAGCCACTGCATCTGGCCCCGCATGCACTTTATAGAGGAGGGCTTTGCATCCTGAAGGGCGAGTGGGGCTTCATCCTGCAGAGATGAAAGGCAGAGGAAGCTCAGAGCCCAAGGTAAAGGGGGGCGCCTAACAAAAGCGACTCCATTGGGACCACGGTGAGAGGGTCCCCATACACAGCTTGGGTTAAGCCAGACACTGATTTCAAAGTATCTCAGGAATGGTGGACTCAGCACCTGTCAGGCAATTCTCTCTCTCAAGCAGGCTCCTGGTAGATATTTAGTAGCAGCTGAAATCAAGATTATGTTCTGACTGACACTTGCTGAGGGTTAAAGAGCTATATACGCTTTGAGGACCAGCTGAACTGGGGCAGGACTAACACCCTCTGGTGAAAATACGGGAACCCAAACACACGAGTCAGAGCAGGAGGTGTCTCCCCCACCTCCAAACAATAACGCTGACCTTGGATTTGGGTTAAGTGCCTAGCCCAGGGGTGTGAGTGTTCAGGAAGTGGAAACCATCATCACCATCATCAGGTAATGGAAAACCATCAAAGCTTTGAGCTGGCTTGTTAGCCAAGAATAGTAGTAGTGTATTAGCTACTACTAATACTCACAGCTGACAATTACTGAGCACTTGCTCCGTGCCAGGAATCACGGAGGCACCTCGCATGCATTTCCTCAATACTCCCTCCCAGTAACGGCGAGGACACAAAACTGGTAGAGCCAGGACTGGAATCCAGGCAGGCCCCAAGGCACTCCAGTGGAGCCTGCCAAGGAGGGCAGGCTACCATGCTAATGAGGTCCAGTATTTGACCACCACTCCTAGTTGAGCAAATTAACAGAAAACCTAAAACTAAACTTAAAATCTAAAAATTTGAGCAAATGCATAAAAAGCAGCTGTTAAAATGGATCATAAATCTTGCATCACTCGCTGGAAAACCACTCAAAATAAACGTCTCTGAGACATGGCCTCTGAGGAGGGCACTCCGTGTGGCTCGTATCACCCTGGTGACAAACCACGTGAACCTGGGTGGTCACCTGACCATATTGAACAGACGATGCACAGAGCCATTTGCATCCACTGTGGTCAACATTTAGGAAGTTTTAAGCTAAGATTTGCCAAATTGTAGCCTACTGGATTCCGGGTTCTCTTGACATCTCTTTCTAGTCGCCATGTCTTGCACTTCCCGAGTATAAATAAACTGAGATGCAAATAAAAAAAGGAGGATTTAAGAATAATGAAAAGAGAAAAATCAAGAAAGCACAATCACTAGTGTAGAGATAACAGAATTTCTGAATTCCCTGAAAACAATCTATATAAATGCATGTGAAATAATACACCAGCATCTGTGGCCCATACGTCACATATTAGGAACTGATAACATAAGGTAAACATGTTACTCTGAAAACACAAATCCTCACAAATCATTAGGCAGTAAGACTGAATCCAGCACCTCCCCCCCCACCACCCACAGCGCAGTGAGGCAGTGTCTAGCAGCCGTAGTGCTCCCCGCGCCCCAGTTCAGTCTCTGGCAACATCAGATACTTCCCACTAATAACGAGGAGCCTTTCAACATTTTCACAACATCTCAAAACTGACCCCTTTTCTAGCTTAAATGGCACGGATCTGGAAAGGCAAACTATACACAGAATCAGAAAAGATGACTGCCCCTGAGGGATTACAGAAAAAGCAGCAGTCAGGTGTTCAATGAAGTAAAATGTATCCAATGATAGCTCAGGGGAGGGGGATCAATTGAGCTGAAACTGGCAAGAACGTAACTCCAGGGAGCTCACAACACGCCAAGGACCCAGATTTCCCGCTGCCTGAACGCCCAATATTCGCACACTGATAAGAACGCCTCCCCATAACTCCCCTGCCAGCGCCTCCAACACCCCCAATCCTTTCCCCAGGAACCCAGTCCCAGTTTCTGCAGTTCCTGTAACAGCCACGTTCCCACACAAGTGCTGCCTGAGCTCCCCAAGCCCTCCAACAATCACCCCCCAGTGCCCTCGAAGGTCTATTCAGAGAAGTCACCAAGATGCAGTCACCCAGGAAATTCAAGGACCCCCAACTTACCAAAAGGCTTTCGGCTGGACAGAGCTAACCTTCCTATTCCCCTCCTAAACCTACAACCTAGTTTTCATTTCTCAAGAAGCCTTTCCCTGCGCTCACGCACGCCGTTGTTAGCTGGCTCGGTGAGGCACTCCAAGCAGTAACAGCGGTAGCCACAAAATAAACCAGAAGCATCTCCACCATGAAGCAGTAATAATTTGTCCTAATGATTCCTTTGTCCTTGGAAAATCAACTTCAGAAAGAAAGTTATCCACTGTGAGCAGGGCAGGCTCGCGGCTTCTTGGTCCGGAGACCCAGGTCCCACTGGCCCACTCACCCTTGGAGAGAGCTTGCTGAAGCTGGGTGTCCGATATCACTCCACTCCTCTCTATCAACCCTATAACATCAAGAAGACCAAACAAGCTGGCGATCGAAAGTTCAGGAAAAGCAAAACAAACGTCTCCTGTCAACCCTGCACCGACTCTGGAAGGCTCCCTCCTGGAACCTCCGCCTCTCCGGTCCCGCTGAGGAGTACAGCGGAATCAAGGAAGTGCCCCAGGAGCCACGTCCAAGTGTGTTCTTCCCCTAAGAGGACAATCATCTTTCTCTCTCTTTTCCCACCTCAATCCTTCCCTTCCTTCCCCTCCTGACCTGTCTGAATTCCCATTTGCACCAGTTTCCCTTTTTCACAGACAAGACAAGATTCCCTCAGATAACTAAGCCATTCCCTGGCCATGAGTTACTACAGTTTCGGTCATTCATTCAGTGGAAAAGCGACCAGGGACAGAAGGCGCCGCCATAAAGGTCACCTGGCCCGAGCAGACGCCAGGTCGCTGCTTCTTCCTTGGCTGCTGACATTTTAACAGCGGCCCAGACAGTCTGTTTCCGCTTTCCCCAAACAAGCACCCTGGAGACCCTCCCCCGACGGCTCGAGGCGAGAAACGGGGCCTGGCCCAGGAGCCGGTGGCCGCGACCTCGGGTCTGCAGTGGCGCCCTCTGCACCTTGGGAAGCGCCCGACGCACAGGACAGGGACCGGGCAGGAGGCAGGGGCGGCCCCAGGAGACCGGGCAGCGGACGGGGGAGACCGCGGGGGACCCGGAAGGGGATGGGGGCGGCCGCGGGGGTCGGGGCAGGGGATGGGGGCGGCCGCGTCGGTCGGGGTAGGGTTCGGGGGCGCCCGCGGGGGTCCGGGCAGGGGCGGGGGAGACGGCGGAGGTCGGGGCAGGGGACGGGGGAGGCCGCTGGGGACCCGGCAGGTGACGGGGGAGGCCGCGGGGCAACCGGCAGGGAACGGGGTTGGCCGCGGGGGTCGGGACACGGGTCCGGGGCAGCTGCGGGGGAGGCGGGAGGTGCCGGGGCGGTGCCAGGTGGCAGCTCTGGAAGACGTTCCACAGGAAGCTCTGGTCGGGCAGCGCCGCGCCCGCAGCAGGCCCAGGGCCGCCCAAGGCCGGGGCGGTAGGAGTAGGCGGCCAAGGGCCAAGGCGCGCGGCTGGGCTGAGGCACCTGCGGCCACGGGCGACCTCAGAGCGACTGTGCTTCCGCCTCTGCCGGGGGCAGGGCCAGGCGTTACCGCCGCTTCCGGGGGCGCAGGAAATGCGCGTTGTCCGGGATCCTCCGGCGCAGGCCACCTGCGCGCGGGGCCGGGAAGGCGCTTGGAGGAAATGTCCCGCGCCGCGACCCGGGACAGGCAGTGATGGAGCAGGGATTTCGTTTGCCTTTTAGTTCTTGTATAAAAAGAAGTTTTGACGTGAATATGATTCACGCTAACAGTCGGAAACTCTGGGCGGGGCGCGGTAGCTCACACCTGGGATCCCTGCGCTTTGTGAGGCGGAGGCGGGCGGAGCTCTTGAGCCCAGCAGTGCGGACCAGCCTGGGCAGCGGGGCTAGACCCCATCCCTACAAAAATTACAGCAAGTAGTCGGGCGTGGTGGGCTCCTGTGGTCCCATGTACTCCGTGGGCTGAGGCGGGAGGATCGCCTGAGCCCGGGAGGTCGAGGCCGCAGGGAGCCGAGATCACTGCAGCTCCAGCCCGGTGGACAGCGAGACTCTGCAAAAAAAAAAAAAAAAAAAGCAAGCAGGCCGGGTGCGGTGGCTGACGCGTGTAATCCCAGCACTTTGGGAGGCCGAGGCCGGTGGATCACCTGAAGTCAGGAGTTCGAGACCAACCTGGCCAATATGGAGAAACCCAGTATCTACTAAAAATACAAAATTAGCCGGGCGTGGTGGCGCACGCCTGTAATCCCAGCTACTCGGGACGCTGAGGCAGGAGAATTGCTTGAACCCGGGAGGCGGAGGTTGCAGTGAGCCGAGATCAGGCCATTGCACTCCAGGCCTGGGCAACAAGAGCAAAACTCCGTCTCAAAAAAAAAAAAAAAAAAAAAAAAGGCAAAGCACAATTCGCGTGGGAAGGGCAGTGTGCAGCGTTCTCCGTTGTCTGTTCCGCCCCCAAAAGCTTCCCTCCTTTAGGTTTAACCTGCGCCCCCGCGCTCTGCATCAGCGCGGTCCCCGACCGGTGCAGCTGGAAACACTGGGCGCCTCCCTGCCGGGCCCCTTCCCGCCCCTGTGGTGGTGCAGCCCTGCCTCCCGCAAGACAGCACTGCCTTCGTGCTGGACACAGTTCTATGGTGGAGCCTGGAGTGCCTGTATCACAAATCCCGGAGTTGGGAAGTGCCCACCTTTGGGCCAGTGTGATCCCTGGGTCTTTCCCGGGGTGGTCTCATGCGGCCTTCCACTCCAGTCCTGTGTCCTGTGCCCCGGTTCAGAATACTACAATTATTCTCGTTATTTCATGGGGTTATTCCAGCTTTTCAGTTTCGTCAGTGCCTCATTCCATGAATGCTAACTTTTTTCATCCTCATAGTTCCTAGGGTTGTCTCTGAATTTTCACCCAGTTGCCTACCAAGATGTTGTCTGTGTCTAATGCAGGGGATGGTGCAGGTCTGAATATCTTACTCACAGCTCACCTTTTTGGTGCCTTTGATCCGTGTTAGGAATTATCCACATCTTCTCTCTGGGCAGTATTCTACTTTCTTTTTATATTGACCCAATTATTTTACTTCTTTGGTGTGTCCTTTCTCCTAACACATACGGGTTCACTTTGAAACCTTGAAACCCACATTTACAAAAACATTTTCAATATGAAACATTGTTCCATGACTCATTACTGGAGTACCATCAACATTTACATTTCCAGACCACCCACTGCCCAGTGGTTTTCTTGGTCTCAGTACTCATGAAAACGGTCTGAAGGTTTGTTTTGGGTTCCTAAGTAGTAGACACACGCACAACACTGCCTGTCAGTTATTTCTTGGAAACTAAATCAGCCCTTCTGTTGCCATCCTATCATGCTTCAGGGGTGCCTGTGCTAGTTTTTAATTCTTTGTTCTAACACTTAAATGTTTGCTCAAACGCCCATATTAATACTTCCTCTTAGTTTACAAAAGGATTTACTTTCTTACTGGTTGGGATGAAGCTGCCTGAGGTTGCCACCTGTTATTTTTCCTTCATTTATTGGACCATGTCATCCCATTACATGTCAGCCGTGGAGGTTTTCAAACTGTGGTCCCTGGACATGTTAAAAATGCAAATTCTCAGGCCGAACCAGGACTGAATTGGAAGATCTGGGGTAGGGTCCCCCCAGGACTGAATCAGAAGATCTGGGAGGGTCTGGTGCTGTGCACCCCGACATTCCCTCACTACCCCACTGCCTCTCCCTGCCCTGTGGTCACCACAGCAGCCGCCTCTGCAACCTTGACTATCAGCATGCAGGTCCCAGGACTCGGGGGTCTCCTAACCCGTGCACCCCGACATCCCCCTCACTACCCCACCGCCTCTCCCTGGCTCTGCCTCTGCGTGGCTCCTCTCCTGCTGCCCCCAGAAGGTTTTTGTAAAGCCCGACTCAGGGCGTGCATGGCCTCTCCCTCTCCCACACATGGGCTCCCCGTCCCCTCCAGCTCAGCAAACACACAGCACATCCAGGAGCCACGTGGGACCGCAGTGTCCCATGGCCGGTCCCCCAGATCCCTTGGATGTCTCACTCTGGTGAGCCCCTCGCTCCAGTGCCCTCCAGGAAGCCCCCGTCTCCCCATACAGAAGGGATCTCTTCCCTCCTGAGCCATCGGTGCCCGACCCTCCCTCTCCTCTGTCGCCCCATTTGTGGCAGGTCAGCCACACCCGTGAGCCCCGGAGCTCTGTGAAGGCCGTCACGGCTCCTTATGACGGCGCCCAAACAGTGCAGGCAGCCGGAAGCTGTTCCCTGATGAAAGAAAGGAAGAGGAAAGGAGGAGGGAGGGAAGAAGGCCTTTTCTTGTCCCGAGAGACTTCTGTAGGAATTTTTGGGTGATACTGAGCATGGTAGACCCAGGTCATCTTTCCACGAGAGGGGCCAGAGTACCGCAGGCTCAGCCGCGGTCAGGGGCTCAGGGCGCCGGGGAAGCATTCGCGTGGGCTGCCCCCACGGGCCGCCTTTGCCACCAAGACCCACTCTTCCAGCCAGGCCTTGGGCCGGCCCTGCTTTCCCTTCGGACAAGGTCTTCAGTCCACCGAGAGGATGGCCCACCTCCTGCCCCTGGGTCAGTGCGCAGCCCCAGGGAGGAGCTGTGTGAACCTGGGAGGTGCTGGGGAGCAAGGGTGCTCCACCAAGGGAGGCAGGAGGCCGGAGACCAGCCCGGCCCAGGAGGAGCCTGGCCAGGAGTCCCACCAAAGCCACTGGACCCGGGGAGCCTCCAGTGACCCAGCCTTGTAGGGTCAGCACTGTCCCTAGGACAGAGTCTGCTTCGTACACAGGTCTCGCTGTCTGTGGAGGCTTCAGGCCCCGATGCCTGGGCACACGGACTGACGGCAACCCTCGGGGTGGGAGGCCCCAGATGGGACTTCCTGGCCTGCCCGGGGTGGCGGGGGGGCGGGTGGGAGAGGACGGAGCGTCTGTGTGCATGTGTGAGAGCCTCAAGGACGGCATGTCTGTGAAGATGGCTTCACCCAGCCGCGGCTGCCTTCCGTGTGTGGGCAGCGGTGACGGAGCCGTGACCTCACGGGACAGCCTTTGCCGTGTGGTTTTCCCGCCTCTGGTCCCTTTCCTGGGCTGAGGATCCTGGCTCTGGGGCTCAAGGTGTGGGGTTCGCCAGCACCGGCTCCTGCCATAGACATCCTGGTGGCCCTGGCACAGGCCTGTCCTCCAGCATGGTTCCTAGACCCACCACGCAGGACTCCTAGGCCCCTGAGGGTTGGCAGGAGTGAGGCAGGCAGTCACCAACTGCCCTTGGGTGAGGCTGGTGGCCAGGGGGGGACCCAGCAGGTGCAAGCCAGGCCATCCCCAGCAGCCGCCGGAGCCCATGTCTTTCCCACCGCACAGCACAGCCAGGACATGGGGGTCAGGCCATTACTTACGCTTCTAGTCCTTACATCACCCACAACTTACCCCTGACCTGTGCCTGGCTGTGGTGCCCGCAGCCTGGGCTCCACATAAACACAGGCCAAGAAGTCCCATCTGCAGCCTCCCACCGCAAAGGTTTCCGGCAGTCCGGGCTCCCCAGGCACCGGCTCTGCAGCCCCCACAGACAGAGAGACCCCTGTGTGAAGTCCGGGCTCCTCAGGCACTGGCCCTGCAGCCCCCACAGACAGAGAGACCTGTGTGTGAAGAATCCGTTTGAGGGACAGTGCTGACCCTCCAGGGCTGGGTCACGGAGGCTCCAGTGGCTTTGGTGGGACTCCTGGCCAGGCTCCTCCTGGACTGGGCCTGGGCTGGTCTCCGGCCTCCTGCCTCCCTTGGTGCAGGATCCTTGCTCCCCAGCTTCCCTGGGAAATCCGACGCCTTCTGATCCTGCATGCATCCGGCACCCCTGACGCTGGCGGAGTTGCCTTTCTGCGTGTATAGCTCCTAACAGGGCAGCACAGCTGTTCTGAAACCTCACACATCATCACTGGGGTGGCTGAGGCTGGGCCACCTGGTGTTCACCTCCTGACCCTGGAACTGTGCAGAGAACCTCTCTTCAAATAGGAGGCAGGTCTTTGTGGCTGTGTTTAAGTTAAAGATCTTGAGATAAGGAGGTCATTCTGGATTAACTCGTTGGCCCTACATGCACGGCAAGTGTCCTTACACAGAGGCAGAGGGAGGTTAGACGCAGACAGAGGAGGAGGTCGCCTGGAGACCGAGGCAGAGGTGCAGCATTGTGGCCGCGGCCCAGGGACGCCTGGAGCCACAGAAGCTGGTGGAGGTGGCAGGGTCCTCCCCTGGAGCCTCTGGAGGGAGCACGGCCCATGGACTCGATTTCAGACCCCTCCCTGCTGAGCGGGGAGAGAATGAGTCCCTGTTGTTTTGAGCTGCCGAGACTGTGGGGATCTGCCATGGCAGCTCCAGGACCCTCAGACCTTCGGCTCAGAGCCCCTCTAGCACTGAGCAAGACGACCACTCAGGGCCGCCCCTCCCCGCCCAGCCAGCATGTGCCTCGCTGCTCACCCGACCACGCAGCCCTCAGTTACAGATGCCTGCCCGGGATACGTGGGACGAGGGCTGCGGCTTCCCTGGGGACGGGGTGCGTGGAGCCTGCCTGCAGCCGTGTTCCTGTTTACGTGCTGAGTGAAGCTGGACCTGGGTGGGATGGGGCATTCTGCCCAAGGGTCTCTTGGGGGGTCCATGAGGACTGTGTTCTGACGATACTGCCCTCCTTCCTGAGGCTGCCGTGGGGCTCCATGGAGGCCATGGGGTGGTGAGGATGGAAGAACACCTAGGCTGGGCTCCTGGGACCCCAGCAGCAGCTGAAGGCACTTGGAGCACCACAATTCCCACCCACGGGCCAGGCAAGCCCAGAACCGTCCCCAAAGAAGGGAGCAAGGAGACACGGCCTTTTAGTGATAATATCATAACCAAAAAGTTCTTTAACATTTTTTCATTTTTTTCTGTCACTCAATATTTTTAAAATTATATGTCCATTTTTTTTATTATTTCACCCATCTAATCATTGCCATCTATACCAAACAAAAAAATCTATGCACCGGTGTTCACAAAGCATTTAAGATGCCTGTGAAATGTAATAAGAACTAACTGCAGCTGCACAATATTCCCTCGTATGTATGTTATCACCATGCTGACGCTGGGCACTCAGAGCATTTAAAGGTTTTTATTATAATG